>NC_000006.12:99010183-99161699 GCF_000001405.40 Homo sapiens
CAAGGTATCTCAGGCACTAATCCTAAAAACCCTAAATGGAGAACCCGTATTTTCTCCCTCCTGTACCACTGGAGACTATTCAAGATAAATAAGTAATGGATAAACCTAAGGGAGTGGGGAGGATAAACAATGATTGCAAAAATTACAGTTCTTACTGTTTTAATGTGAATTGATGCATTTCACTAAATAAGGTAAATTCTATGGTAAAGGACAATAACAGAAGGAAAACCATTTAGTTACCTGAATAGAATTAGTGGGTGGTGTGATAAGCACCAGAGGCCAGGAATATTGACTTTTAAAGCTCCCTGATCCTTTGTGTCTATCACATGAAGATGTCCGATAAATATTTGTTAGAGGCATGAATGGTAGTACCATTTACTACTATGGTAGTGCTGTTCACTCCCTCCTCTACTGGGGGGCAGTAGAAGTAGTGGTTAGACCAGACTGGTCAACTCAATGCCATCTAGTTCCTTCTACACTCACCCTTGTATCACAGGAAAGCAGCCCGGGGGCTATATTTTCCAGAATTATTTACTAACAGGCTTCCAGATTAGATTCTGTCAGCGAGAAGCACTCCCATGAGATTTAGATAGTGAATCAGAAGAAAACATTATTCTCTAGCAGTGGCTAGTTCACTGGCATTAGCAAGCAGAACAGATGAAGTTTTGTGGAAAACTCTCAGGTATCCTAAGAATCGACCACTTTGTGCTGCAGGAAGCTGAAATTACCAGTGGTAAATCTCCTGCACTTCTATTCCATCTAGATATTCTGAAAATCAGCAGTGGCTTTCCCGACCTTTGCTATCTAAGTTCTTCCCATAATTGTGAAAAGTTGTAGTAAACCCCTTTCTGCTCAGAATACCTTGAATGGTTTCTGTTTTGCTGAGTGAATTGAGACTGACACAGTGATTACAAGACTTGAGTATAGAAAATATGGGTTGAATTGGATTCACCACATACTACCTAAGGGAGCTCAATGAATAGCTTTGCTTCTCTCCTGTCCTTGTGGCTGGCATGTGTTCTCCTTAGCATAAGGCACAACTGAAGTTGCCACTCAGGACATGTTATTGGGAAGGGATGATAAAGGAATGATTTCTGCAACCCAAATTTTAAAATAATGACTAAGAACTCTGAAAAGACCAATGATCCATGACATGACCAATGCCAAATCTGATTACAACCTATTAACTGCAACAAAAATCCTCTGGTTGGATGATGATGTGGAGGCTTGCATAGCTGCTGGTTACAATGGAAGTTGGAAAATCCCACTCCTCCAGTTATTGCTCTATGCTCCTGCAATTTGCTTTTTGGAGAAGTTCCTTCCTCTCTAGTTTTCTATGGGTTGGGCAGTAAATATTCCAAAGAAGAATGGAAATTGAAAGACCAACTGCATTTGAAGACGATCAATTCAAAAAGAAGCAGCACCAGGTTGATTCAGCTCTATCCTTAAGAAAGAACAGAGCTTAACAGAGACCTCATTAGAAACTTCCCTGTGACATTAAAAGAGTTACAAAACTGAAGAGGAGATTACTGTTTTAGTTTTATAATGGAAACCTTAAATACAGTCTTGTGCTGCAAAATGAAATTTCAGTCAACAGCGAACCACATTTATGATGGTGATCCCATAAGATTATAATGGAGCTGAAAAATGCCTATTGTCTAGTGACCTGGGAGCCATCATAACCTTACAGCACTATCCATTACTCAGATGTTTGTGGGGACACTGGTGTAAACAAATTTACTGCACTGTCAATCAAATAAAAGTATATGACATACAATTATGTACAGTACATAATAGTTGATAATGATAATAAATGACTATATTACTGGTTTATCTATTTGCTAATACTACACATTTTATCATTGTTTTAAAGTATACTCCTCTTACTTATAAAAAAAAAATTATCTGTAAAGCAGCCTGAGACCAGTCCTTCAGAAGGTGCTCAAGAAGGCATTGTTATCATAGGAGATGACGGCTGCATGTGTGTAATTGCTCCTGAAGACCTTCCAGTGGAACAACATGCAGAGGAAGAAGAAGTGATATGGATAATCCTGACCTTCTGTAGGCCTAGGCCAATGTGTATTTGTCTTTATGTTTTAAAAAAAGGCTTAAAAAGTTTTTTAAAAAGTAAAATAAAAAGTTGAAAAAAGCTTATAGAATAAGGATATCAAGAAAATATTTGTGTATAGCTGTACAATGTGTTTTAAGCTGTGTTATTAAAAAAGACTCAAAAGTTTTTTTAAACTTAAATTTATAAAGTAAACACATTATAGTAACTTTAATTTATTATTGAAGAAAAATATTTTTTATAAATTTAGTGTAGCCTAAATGTACAGTGTTTATAAAGCCTTCAGGAGTGTCTACTAATGTCCTGGGCCTTCACATTCACTCACCACTCACTCACTAACTCACCCAGAGCAGTTTCCAGTCCTGCAAGGCCCATTCATGGGAAGCGCCTTATACATGTGTACCATTTTTTAGCTCCTACACCTTTTTTTAAACTGTACCTTTTCTATGTTTATTAACATTGTGTGGTACTTTTTAGTCCACCTAACACCTCCTAGACCTTTTCTATGTTTAGATATGCTTAGATATAAAAACACTTCCCACTGTGTTACAATTGCCTACAGTATTTAGTACAGTATAGCCTATTGCTTTTAGTCTACAAACTTGTTTAGGCTATACAAATGTTTAGATATACACAAATGTTTTCTTGATATCCTTATTCTATAAGCTTTTTTCAATTTTTTATTTTACTTTTTAAAAAACTTTCAAAGACTTTTTGTTAAAAATAAACACAAATACACAAACTTGTTTAGGCTATATAAGTTTGTAGCCTAAAAGCAATAGGCTATACCATTTAGCCTAGGTGTGTAGTAGGCTACACCATCCAGGTTTGTGTAAGTACACTCTATGATGTTTGCACAATGACAAAATCACCTAACAATGCATTTCTCAGAATGTATCCCCAACATTAAGAGACCCAAGACTGTACTTAAGCTCGCTGCATACTACAGAGAAGTTTGGCAAAGTGGTCAGTGAGAATGTATGCAGGGTGACTCACTTTCCAGCTGGGAGCCCACAGTTGAGGCAGTGAAAATTGCTGTTGTCATGGTTCTTTCCAGGAAGAGCTCTTGGTGTCACTTAAGGCTCATTTGCTTCTGCTTATCCAGAATTTGAGCAAAGTCATACTTTGTAATTCTTCACTGGAAACAACATCTCCGAGTCACTAGCTCCATAAGGAAGGGCAATGATGTGAATGATTCCCCAGGGTAGAGCTTACTATGGTTCAGGGAAAGGTGATGAGGTGGCCCTCAGGGAATGTGCAGAGATGATGTGCTGTCCTTTCTCATGGGGGTTTCCAAGCAGGATAAAAATGCTTTTCCTTTTACCCATATCGTCCAAGATTCCTAAAGGTCTTCCTCTTTCTTCTTTTTCTTTTTATGCAAAATTCACTTATTTCCATTTTTCTATTGTTTCTTTTCCAATGGAGTTTATACACACACACACAAATCTCAACTAGCCAACGTAGAGACAGCAGCTATCTTGTATTTTACCTTTTATTCACATCAGTTTATTGTAGAATGTAGGTAGGATTTTGCTACTCTTGAGCAACATTTAGCTAACTAGTATAACCCCAAATCCATTGCTCCTAGTCACCGTGATGCTGATGGGGATGAAGACACATCAGGCATTTCTGGCTGAGTGTCTTCACACAAAAAGCCCTGGCACAGGAAAAGCATCCTGCAGTGTATTGGTGAGGTGTGAGAATTATTTACACATGTAGTTTACAGGCTGAGAGTCCCGTTGGAATGAAAGGGAGAGATTTTGAAACTTCACCTCCAGAAATCTTAGCACTTTGTAGAAAAAAAGACTGAAATCCTAGGACACAGTGCCCCAGCCCAGGCACTGGTCCTTGCTATAAATTCCTTGCTAGTTCAGGCTATATGTGGTGTTTTCTTGAATGACACAACCTGTCCCTCTCTTGGGAAGCCTTTTACTGCAGATTCCTCTCGGATAGCCCTACAGGGGCACTCAGAAGACTTAGTGGAAGAGGTAGTATGACCTAACTACAATTCTCAGGAAATGAAGTGTACATTCTGCAGAATGGCATTTCACAACTAAGCTCAACAGGAGAAAAAACAGAAGCAAAAGATTGTTATCATAATATGATCAAATGCCAGTCTATCAAAAAGCCATGCTAAGCTAACTCCATGTATTTTTTTAAAGTTACTTTTCCTTTTTCTTTTCTTAATACTAAATATTCAAGTACAAGAAGGAATAATACTTATGGCTTAAAATATACAGTATTCATATCTATTGTTAAAGGTAGAGAAAGAACCTACTTAAATGAGTTTGATATGGACATTGACAGTTTACTTACTATATGCCAGCTACTGGCCTACATACCTTTTATAAATTACTTCCATTAATCTTCACAATAAATCTTAGGATTATTATTATCCCCATATTACCGATGAGAAAACTAAACCTTAGAGGTATTTAATCAGTTGCACAAGGTTACACCACTAAAACTTAATAGGATCAAAAGCAGAATCTGAGCAATCTGATTCCAGAGCCCACATCTTAAATATTAGGCACACGATCAAAGAACATTTCCTGTGTCACCAGCTTCTAGGCCTTTACAAAAATGGTGGCCAAGCATTTTAGCTGTGAGGCAGTAGCTCATGGTCAATCAAATGAGCCTTTGTTGTTGATCAGAAGCCCCCTTTACCAACTTCATCCCCCATTAGCCAGCATATGTTTTGTCTCATGGACACAGGTTCTAATCCTTCTTGACCACCCAACCTTGATTAGTGTAGACATCCAGGTCCCAGCAGTGGCTTCTCAGGTAAGACAGATGAGTCCATATTTAATATCTCTCAGAGAGGGAACTGCAAGTCTTAGAGAAACACATAGCCTTAAATATCTTTGAAGCACATGAATCACTTTATAAATTATAGTGTCATCAGACTCAGAGGTTGCAACAATAAACTGTTTACAATAATTTATTTTGTCTGCAATCTAAGTTAATGAGGACCATATCACCTTTTTACCTCCACCAGAGCAATGTCTGTCTATACTTGGAAATAAAAGTATCTTTCATTTGTGAGGAGCTTTCAAGGTTACAAGGTGCATTAATATCTATTTCTGGCTTAATTTTCATAAAAACTCTTTGAACTTATTCTAAATGTCCCCATTTACAGATGAGTACATTGCAGTTCAGAGAGATAACATGCCTTGACTTAAGGTCATGCAGGCAGAAATGGCAGATTTGACACCCCAAACTCAAGTTTTCTGCCTCAAATTCTAGTATGTATTGCTATGATGGTGTTATTTTGGGTAGAATTTCACCTTCATTTATTTTCATTTCTGGAAGTTAATGTTCATAATGGTATATATCCTACACATTCTCCCATGTCCTCTGTCTGGCTTTTAAGTAGGTAAAAACCACCTCATCAAGCTTGATGACTCAAGTCTTAGATAATTCCTTCTGTCTACAGGAGTCATCTGCCACCATCTAAATAACTTTAAGGTTTATTCTTGATGTTTGTAATCAGGATTCAAATAATCTATAGTAATAGACAACTTTTTTAAAGTTAAGTGAGTTTAGTGCTGTAGATGCAGTACTAGATTAAGAGGATGGAATATGAGTTCCAAAGATTGTACATTTGGGCAAGTCACTGACCTTTCCTGAGCTCAGTTTTCATGTTTGAAATCCAAGGGCACTAGATTAGCACTAGATCATCTCTATGTCCTCATGTTTTAGAGCCTGTCCATCCAAGTTGACATCTAAAAGACAGTTATGAATGTGGAGGCTGCAGGAAGACAGCAGGAACAGAGCTAGGTCCTGTCATTCTTCTGAACCACTACCCTAGGTTCCAGGACTCAAAAAGACAAAAGCTTGGAAGAACCTAAGCTCATAAAGCTACTCAGAGGCTATTTCTCCGGGTCTCCCCTAAGTCATATAGGCAAAGTACCTACCTCTGTGGACTCCCAGAGAAGTGGGTTCAATATTCTCAGAAACAGCTAGCTACTACCAGTAAATTCTTCCTTGCATATCTCTTCAACCACCCACATCATCTACACCTTTCTTCTAGATTTTGTGGTTGAAAAATGTTTGATGACAGCCAGTGGTATAATAGCCAAATACAGAGGAGTTATTTGGTCCAGACCAGGACTCAAACTTTAGAGACTGCAAAGGAATCTTTCTCAAGTTTCAGTCACTGAAGAGGAAACTGTGGTTGGGTTCCACCATCCACTCCACCATTAGCAAATGTGTAGCAGCTCTGTGGTTTTGAGGGCTTAGCTAAAACTCCAAGGGAAGGTTCTTAGACTCATAAGGCAAGTGTGGGATTGTGGTAATTTTCTGACCTCTCTTGCCAGTAACTGGTTTAAAATCCAGGCTTGGGCAATCAGCACAAGGCCTTTGTCTGATGGCAGGAAATGAATTGTTCAGGAACCAACTCTTCCACAACAACACTTGAGCCCGTCTACTACATCACCCTTGCTCATTCAAGTTCAGCCACACTGGCCTCCTGGTTGTTTCTTGAATATAGCCTGAAGATCTTTGCATTATTGACTGTTTCCTCTGCCTGTAGTTATCCTCCCCTCTCACTGCAATCCTAACCCCTTCACCTCCTTCAAGTCTTTGCTCAAATGTCACCCTCACAATGAGACCTACTCTGACCATCATATTTGGAATTGCAATCAGCCCCTTCATTACTCTCAATTTCTTATTTCCCCTGTTTTCCTTCCCCCTCTAATACTTTTAAAAATTCTATATAATGTAATTCCTTATTACTTTTATCATTGCATGTTTCCTCCTACTAGCATTGTAAGCATCTGGTAGGGATCTTTCTATTATTCACTGTTTCATCCCAAATGCATACAGTAAGTGCCTGCCTGGCTCACATAGGCACTCAATTCCTTCTCTCCACTGCACACTTTTGTAATCAGCCACAATCTGGATCCATTTTACCAGCCTAAATTTTTCTGAAGTTCAAACGCAGAGCAGATAATTACACAGACCATATAATTGATCATCCAATAGGGACAATGTTGAAAGTAAAGGGGGAAGCTATTAATAATTATGTCATGACAACAGTTTAAACAGACATTGACATGGGCAAACCAGGATGACTTAGCATTACCATGTTTATCACAGAGTGTGGTCCAGGGAGCAAGAGTAAAAGACAGAGGAAAAAAAAATAGGGAAGGAAGGAGAACAAATGAAAAGATATGTTGTCAAGCTGTCTCCTTTTCTGGACAGCTGGTTGCTGGATCCTGGAGGACAGTCTTAGGGGCCATATGTAAGATGTCTCTGAAGGAACTGTGCAGAGAAGAAAAAGGGTGGCTCATATGCCTTGGCCCCTGGTCCTTATTGGTTAATGGCTCACCCACAGGGCATTTCCAGGTTGTGCATGCAGGTTTGCTGAGTGGGTGCCTGTGGGGCTTTTGCCAAGGGCCTCCTAAGCAGCAGGAGGCATGTGGCAGAGTCCTGATGCTCAGTGCTGTCAGAATGTCACTGTGTGAGCCGAGCAGGAGCCCACTAGGCAGAAGAAGGGGAAGAGTCGAGGTCACTGCAGGAGTGACTGGACAGGCAAGGCTGAGAGAACACTAGTGGGGAATAAGTGGAGGCCAACACAGCACTTTAGAGTTTGAAATATGGGGTAGTTCATGAGCTACCAGAGGGAAAAGAAGACAAGGAGCCTCTCCAACTTGACAACTAGAGCTCCTGTCCATAGGTAGTTATTTAATTAAATTGATCTCTAGATTTCTTTATACCTTATATCAATTCTTTAAAAAAGAAAAACTTTCTTAGTCACCCAGTGTGGTATGTGGAGAATGCTTTTGCTTTAAAGATTTTCTTTCTTTTGATGGTTTCTTTCTCCATGTGGATAACGTGGCTTTCTAATGATGACAACACCATTAAACAAACCTTTCCATGTCAGAGATACTGTATCTTCCTTGACATTGCTGTCTCCCCATCTCCCTTTCTCTAGTCTGTTCTCCCTTTCTCCTGTCCCCTTTCAGACTACACATGATGAAGAGATGTGGCTTTGGAAGTCATAAAGGGTTAGGGCTGGCAATGCCCAGTCAAGAGCTGCAATGCAGCTTTTCCCCCAGGGGGAGAAATGAATCCCAGTTCCCCCATAGCATCTGGATTCTCAAGCTTTCACAAATGCTACCTCAGCATGGGCCGGAAACAATACAGAGTATCTCTATTTGGTCTAAACATAAAATAACTTCAAATAAATTCATTGTGATAAAATTAAAATATGGAACCCAAGAGTGTTCTAAAATGCTACCGGGAGCTTTTCTGTGGAAATTCTATGACATGTTGTGCTGTGAGCTTTAGTAATATTAGAAAAACAGTGGGTCCTTGCAAGTGGCTGCTTTTCTATCTCTGAAAAGGCTATGGCATGGAAGAGGTGAAATTTAGGTGTGCAATTTGGAAAGAAGAGTTTTAGAGAAGTAGATGGATTTGGAGATATACACAAATCCCACAGAGATCTATTATTTATGGGCCATCTGCCTGTATCTGAGAGTGGGTGCCCACTGGGAAGACCAGAACCTCAACCGGGCAACAAAAGTCTCACTGTACCCAGTGGCAAGAGGCTGAAGATCAGCCCTGAGGGCACAGACCTCTGATGGGGTCATCTCGCACCTCCCAGAGGCTGCCTAAGTAAGGGGGCCAGCAAGGCACATACTGGGATCACAGTGTTGTTGGAAATGGCTTTGCAGCCACACTGAAAGAACTGTGGGAGGAGAGGAGAGGAAAGTGGTATTTGAATCAGGTTATTTCCCCACTTCTTTTGGTCTTTATTGTCAACTTTTCATAGAGTAGCAGATAGGTCACCATACTAAAGCTTACCCACAATGAATCTGACTTTTACCTTTTCTTGAAAATTATAACACCAACTCCTTTTTCAATACTATGTCTACTTTTCTCACTGTTTTTTTAAAACTGCTATGCAGACTCTCATACCAAAAATGCTTAGTGATGTTAGACTATTCTGAGATTAACCTTCCTGAAATCTGGATCAACCTTGGTTTTCCTCCCTTCACTCTCATCCCCTCACAGCTTTCAAGGTAAAGTTTAAACCGTTTAGGATGGTATCAAGTTCTAACTGAGGTCCAACGGGAGTCAGTGGGCGAGTGGCAGGTAGCTGGGAAAAACACTCGAGGAATCGTAGGCAGTTTTGACATAGCTTTACTATCTTCTTGGGCATGAGTGAGCTGTATGTACAGTGTTAGCAGGGTAATTTTACTTTTTACAGACAATAGTGGCTCTGAGCCAAGTACCAGCTCATGTGGGTGATCATCTAATGCACCTCACATGGCATGGTTATGTAATGTGTGAGGTTGTGCACCTCTGCTCCAAACCCACTGAGTCATGCTGGACCAGATGTCTGCCTTAGCCTATTCTCGATCACAGCACATCCATTTTCCTTACACTCCACCCACTAGGCTGAGGGCATCCTCTGGGCAGGGACACATGCTCATAGGGAAGAGCCCTGAATCCATAACCCAAAACAACAATACAGAGAGCAACAGCTCACTAGGATCCCAGCTATGCTACTTATGACCATTAGGGCCCAGTGTAGGCCACAGCCTAGGGATGCCCACCATCTCTGCAAGGGGTCATAAGTAAGGCTTGCAACAGCCTTAATCTCCCATGAGACCCCTTGCAGGGCTGCTGTTATGTTCTGCTGATTGTCAGGGATAAAGGTACAACACTGTGTTCCTAAAAGGGCACAGGCGTCTCGTTTGGCAGCGGTTATCATGTCTAAGGCCATTCAGTTTTGCAACACCACCTTTCTGATCTGATCAGCCTCATTTGTTAACAGGATGAGGGCCACTTGGGTGTTAATTCAGAGCCTGAGTGTTGTGCTCTGCAAGAGCAGTAACTGGTGCTTCTAGTTATGACGCCCGCCCCAGGGATGGTCATTTCCAAAGGATGGAACCACCAGGGGGCTCGTCACACTTGCAAAAACTGAAAGCATAGCACCTCCCAGTTACAGAGGCATCTATGCAATGTGGGGAGAACAATGGCAGGTATATAAGGCCACCCCCAGGTACAATGTCCAGTCCAGTTCACTGGTAGGTAAGGCCACCCTATGTCCCCACAGACCCATAAACTCCTGGGGGCACAAAGTCCATTGGGGCCTGACCTTCGTGGGGCTACCTGTTCCACCAGTGACACGTGTTATGTTCGTACAGGCCGTGACAGGTACCCATCCTATAGTGGTGTTACCCCAATGTTGCTCTATGCATCATGGCACCTGGGCCAGGGGTACTACATGTTACCCCACTAGTCAGCCTGTATTAGTCAGGGTTCTCTTAGAGAACATACATATATATCTTGAATATATAGGATATATAATGGGAGTTTATTAAGTATTAACTTACATGATCACAAGGTCCCACAATAGGCTGTCTGCAACCTTGAGGAGCAAGGAGAGCCAGTCCAAGTCCCAAAACTGAAGAACTTGGAGTCAAGTGTTCAAGGCCAGGAAGCATTCAGCACGGGAAGCATTCAGCACGGGAGAAAGATGTAGGCTGGGAGACTAGTCCTGTCCCTCCTTTTCATGTTTTTCTGTCTGCTTTATATTCACTGGAAGCTGAATAGATTGTGCCCACAGATTAAGGGTGGATCTGCCTTCCCCAGACCACCGACTCAAATGTTAACCTCCTTTAGCAACACCCACACAGACACACCCAGGATTAGTACTTTGTATCCCTCAATCCAATCAAGTTGATACTCAATATTAACCATCCACACAGCTCCATTCATCATAAACGCCACGGGCCAGCCAAGCGGTGAGTGTGCTGTGGGACTTGTGGGGTCCTTTGTCCAAAGTTTGCTGGGTTGTGTCCCAAGGATCCACCATGGGTCACCAGGTATCTGGTTATGTCCAGTTCTCTGCAGATGCTGAATGTATGTGCCAAGACAAGCCATTCGCTGCTGCTGCTGGAAGGGCGGTGCAGATCCAACAGTCGGAAACATTGGTCACTGCAGTGTAGGTGTGGGCCCAGTCCACAATGCAGTTGGAGCATGTTAACCTACGGTCGAAATGACAGAACAGGCACAGGTACTAACAGGAAAATCATGTCCCTCAGGCAAAATACAGGCTAACCTTTCATCCCTGGATACAATGCAGTTGCCAAGGGCTTTTGCCCTGGGCGATGATACCACACCTTCTCAACTCCCCATGGTTCCTTTGAGTCCTGTATCCATGCCAAAGTCACAGGGGAGCTCATAGTAGGCCACACAGACTGTACATATGTCCCCCGGAGAAGGGTTCCTTCATAGCCATTCCCCTATGAACAGCCAACTGCAGGAGCCGTGTATTGAACACCCAAGGAGTGACATGCAAGTCACTGTAGGTCCTCTGCCCAGGGAGCTACAATGGCCATCCACTGGCAGTGGGGGGCTTGGAAGGCCCATGGCCACAGGTTTTCTGTTCCCCTGCCTTCAGAGGCATTGGAGCAGGCAAAAACAGATTACTTTTCGTCCCCATACCTGGTCGGAGGAGATCATCTTTGGTATGTATCTGCAACTGAACGGGGGCAGCAGCCCAATGTAACAAAGCCTCCATGGGGCCGGGCCACCCTTCTGTGGCCGTTCATTCAAGGTTTAGAGCACCAGTTCCAGCCTGGAGCCCCAGCCCCACAAAGATGGCGGTGTGACATGCAAGTGTAACCCATTCTTCAAGAGCCCATTATATCACTCAATCATACCCGCAGCTTGCAGATTGTATGGCACATGGAATCCCCACTTTATATTCATTTTTTGTGCCCATCGTTGTACCTGTTATCCAGTGAAATGTGTTCTATCACTTCAGTAGCCAGAGGGCGACCATAGAGGGCACATACACATTTCAGGGCCCAGATGGTATTCTGTTGGTCAGCCATACTGCAAGGCTAGGTGAACAACAGGCCTGTGGCCGTGCCCACAGCTGTTAGCACATGTGTATACTTTTGCGATGTCGGTAGTGACCCAATGTAGTCTATTTGCCACCTGGCCAAGAGCACTTGTCCTATCATTACTTGTGTAACACTGGGCAGCTGCCTCTGTTTAGGGTATGCCTGAGCACATGCCAGACATTTCTGACAAGCCTCCCAAATGACTCGCGTGGGCAGGGACAGATCCCAATGCTTATTGAACTGTTGTATCAGTTTACCCCCCGCATGTCCCAGTTTCCAGTGTAGCCACATGGGCACATCTCGTGTAGGTGCCAACTCTAATCATCAAACCTTGGCCAAGGCATCTGCCTCATCATTGCCAGCGGTGGCCAAAGGCTTACAGTCTGACACATGATAAATAGTTACCTCTTTCTGATGACCCATTTCCCAGAGGTCTTGCCACATGGCTTGGCTCCAAATGGGTCAGTGGCCAACTAGCCACTTCTGTATTTTCCAGGTAGTTAACCACAAGGTTAAGCCTTGCTAGACCACCCTGCTATTGGTACAGGTTACCACAGGTGTCACCTCGTTGGTGATCACCATTCATACTACTCTAAGTTCAGCTCATCGGCTACTTTGTCCATACCCAGTTTCAAACCATGTGGTGTCAGTACTAGGTTGGACTGTAACAGCAGTCCAGGCAGCAGTAGCATCTCAGCTGGACCCATCTGTGTACCATGCCCCATCAGGAAGAGGGGTATGCCCTTCCTTAAATGGTGAAAGCTAAGGTTCTAGGGGTGTCTCAGGCCCCATGGCCTTATCTTGCACTAGGACTACAGGTCCCAAGACCTCTTGCAACTCTGTTGCTAAAGGACTTGTACTCAGCATGCTTTGCTACTCCAAGTAGGTGTCCCACTTTGCGAAAGTGGATGTCTTTGCTGTCCCAGTCTGGGATGAGTGAATGTACCCATCCTGCCATTGGGTAAGTCATCTGCATGATGACTGCAGCCCATCCTGTCACACTGTCACAAGCCTGAAGGGTGGCATATACAGCTGCTAGCTGTTTCTCTGTCAAGGAATACCACAGCTCAGCTCCTTTCCATAGTTGGGACCAAAAGCCTACCGGCATTCTTAAGCACTCCATACACTGCCACAGGCCCCAGCCGAAACCATCTGTAGTCACATGCACATCCTGCTCAAACGGACACCCCTGATCAACTACCCATAGGGCTTGTGCCTGCTGAATAGCCTGCTTCGCTGCCAGGAAGGTGTTCTCAGCTGCATTATCCCAATCCTGGGTGGCTCCTTCTTTGTTAACCAATGCAACAGTTTTATCATTTGAGCTAAATGGGGGACAAATGCCCACAAATATCCTAGGAGGCCCATAAAAATTTGCAGGTGCTTCACCATGGTGTGCTGGGGGTATGCCCGAATCTTATCAATGACAGCCTCTGGGATGACCTTTGTCTTACCTGATCAGGTAACTCCCAAGAATTTGGCAGATAATCCAGGTCCTTGGACCTTGGATTCATTGACAGCCCAATCACATGCTGCCAAACGTTGGTGCAAGAGGGGTCCAGCCACTTATAAATCTGCAAAAGAATTAGAGGTTAACATAATATCATCAATATAATGGAATAGGCGGACCTCTTCTGGACATTGTCAGGTGGCTAAATCCATGGCAACTAGACCATGATATATGGTGGGTCTGTGCACATAGCCCTGTGGCAATACTGTAAAAGTCCATTGTCCTCCTATGTAAAGGCAAACTGTTCCTGGCTCTCTGGAGTGATGTCTACGGAGAAAAATGCATTGCCAAGTCCATTACATAGTTGTACTGTCCCAGTTCTGTCATCAAACAGTCCATCAAATCCATGATTGATGGTATAGCTGCATGCAAAGGCAAAGGTGGTGTTACTTTATTCCATTCCTGATAGTCCACCATCATCTGCCAAGTTCCATCAGGCCTTTTAACTGGCCACACTGGAGAATTGTAGGGGGTGTGGGTGTCGCGCATTATCTGCACTTCCTCCAGTGTTTTAATTGTCTCAGTTATTTCTGTATGCCCACCCAGCAAATGGTATTGATGGGTGGAAGTAACCCACAGGGGTTGTGGCAGGACCTGAGGCTGGTGATTCATATGTACACACAGCACCAGCTTCACCAAATGCACTCAGAGTCTGAATTCTCTGGCTGTGGTTTGTAACACCAGGCCATGTAAAATGTCCACTCACAGACTGTATTCCGGTATGAGAGAGACATACACTATATATAAATGGGGAGCCAAATGGCAATGGCCAAGATGCAGAGATATAGGTTTCACTTTCACTGGCCAGCCTCCATAACTGTCAATGTAAGCAGGTTTGCCTGGAAACTTATCTGGGTTCCCATAAACAAGGCTGCAAGCTGCACTAGTATCCACCAGCACCAGCATCCACTGTACATTGGTGGGGTACCAATGGATCACTAATTCCACATGTGGCCTCTAGTTGTCCAGTGTCCCGCAAGCTGGGCACCTCAGCCAGTTCCTTAATCAAACAGAAAAGGCTCTACATTTCCAGCTGGATGCAGCACGTAGTCTTTGAGCTAAAGCACCCAGGTGGGACCCAGTTGCACAGCAATGTCATTCTCCCCCTTGGCTTTTTCTGGAATTGCTGCTCCGGAGACAATTGTCTCCACAAAGTTAAGAGTACTTTATTGGGCTGCTTTTTTATTTTTCTCTCATTCAACCCTGTCCAAAATCAAATCTATCCACATCTGTGAGCATATCACTCATTGGGGCCCCCTTTTCTCCCATGGGGGGCCCCTGAGGGCAGGGCAGGGCATCTTCCCCTTCTTCATGGCACAGACCCCTCAATCCCATCAATAGCCTTCTGCTTCCCCAAGAGCCGCCATAGCAGTGGTCACTTCATGTATGTGGTGCCCTACATATAGGGTGAAGGCCGCAGATAGGGAACCAAAGGCATGAGATCCCTCATGTGGGAGGTGAAATGTTCATCATCTGGCCCCCAGGTATTCAGGTAAAACATAGCCTGCTGCATACCCATCTCCTGGATGACTTCCACCAAATTGGCATACGACTGCCATTTACTCTCAGTTTTGGGTATTTCACCAGCGTCATTCCACACAGTCCGTATGGCTGCCCATTGCCACTCAATCAGAGTGTGGTCATGTTGCTCTTGTGCCAACGGCCTGCTCACCTGCAACCACTGACAGAGGGATGAGTGAGTTATGATAGAGGCCAGCTTTTCCATCTCAGAGGCAGAACAGGAGATACTATCTGCTCCCTCATCCCACAAACGAAGCATCCGGGTGGGCAGAGGTTCTCCTGGAAGCTGGCTGCACTGCTTGCCTAATTCCCACAACTCAGTTGGGGTATAGGCAGTATATGAAGTATGTTGCGTTATGGTGGGGGGATCCCTAAGCCTGCCCTTCGAGCCCCAGTGGCTGTTCATGATCTACCTTCTGACAGACCACTGGGCAAGCCTGCAACAGAGGTTCTTCCTCCTCGGCATCAGACCCAGTGGGGGTCTCTGGCCAAGATGACGGACCCAGGCCTGCATTTACAGCAGCCTCTAATTCCTTTTCCAAGCTGTGTAGCCAGGCCTTCAGGCATCCCACCTGTGCCTGGAGGTCCCCATTCACAGCAGCTTCTAACTCTTTTTCTGAGCTGTGTAGCCAGGCCTCCAGGCACCCTGCCTGTGCCTGGAGGGCCCTTACTGCACTGCATCCCTCAGGTACTGGGTGTGTGCTTCTCATAGTGCAATCAAAAATGCCCATCCAACTCTGCAGGCAAAGGCTCACTCCTTCTCAGTGCTCTGTGCTTCCAGCTGCTTCAACACCTTCTCCATGCTCGCGGGGGACCCATCTACCACTGCCCAGGTTTCCAGTGGAGCCCATCCGACCAGCACAGCTGACACTGGGTACCACAACCTGTGTTGCCACCACATGGCCAACCGGGAATCAGTGTGGACCAAAGGTGCACTCCCCTCAGGATTCTATTCACAATGCCAATTATCAGGTTATAACCAAAGACCAAGGGGAGTCAGTGGGCAAGTGGCGGGTAGCTAGAAAAACACTCAAGGAATCGTAGGCAGCTTCAATATGGCTTTACTCTCTCTCTGGGTGTGAGCAAGCTGCATGTACAGCGTTAGCAGGGTAATTATAACTTTTACAGACAATAGTGGCTCTGAGCCAAGCATGAGCTCACATGGGTGATCAACCAATGCACCTCATGTGGCATGGTTACATAATATGTGGGTTTGTGCACTTGCGCTCCAAACCCACTGAGTCATGAGGCTCCAGAAGGCCGCCTCGGCCTACTCGTGACTAAAGCTCAGCCATTTCCCTTACAGACCATACATAGGCTCTTGGTGGTATGCACCTTTTATGATTTGGCTGTGTCCCCACCCAAATCTCATCTTGAATTCTCACATGTTGTAGGAGGGACCCAGTGGGAGGTAACTGAATCATGGGGGCAGGTCTTTCCCATGCTGTTCTCGTGGTAATGAATAAGTCTCACAAGATCTGACAGTATTATAATTGGGAGTTTCCCTGCACAAGCTCTCTCTCTCTTTGCCTGCTGCCATCCACATAAGATGTGACTTGCTCCTCCTTGCCTTCCACCTTGATTGTGAGGCCTCCCCAGCCATGTGAAACTGTAAGTCCAATAAACCTCTTTCTTTTGTAAATTGCCCAGTCTCGCATATGTCTTTATCAGCAGTGTGAAAACAGACTAATACAGCACCCAACTTTACTGTCCAGCCACTTCACCTCACAGTACCCCTAATAAATCCATTTCCCAACAGTTAGCTCCCACAAGTCATTTCTTCCACATCTCAGTGTCTTTGCCTGTGTTGTTCACTCTATCTAGATGGCTCTTCCCAAACACTTCTGCCTGAAGAACCTGTCAATTTTCCAGTTCCATCCAAGCCTAACTTCTCTGTGTGGCCTACAATGAGCCATGTCCCATGCAAGGCACAGGAGCCTCAAAAACAAAGACTCAGTGCCTGCCTTCAAGAAGCTCACAGCCTGGCAGGGCACACAGAAATGCATGCAGATAATTATGATACCATGTGATATGTTGGATTTTATTTTAATACTATTTATAAAAGTATGGAGTAAGACAAAATTTAAATTGATTTCTGTCATGGCAATGGCTGGGGAAGAATTCAAGGAAAGCTAAGAAGAGAGGGTGACACTTCAAGTGAACCTTCAAGTATGAGTAAAATTTTTCTCTGTGGAAGAAAACATTATGGGTGGTGCAGTTATGATTGGAGGGTGAGAAAACATTCTGCGAAACATGAAAATGAAACATGAAGTTGTGTAGACTATTTGGGAACCATAAGGAGTAGACTTTGGCTGCCTGTAGACTGTGGGTGAGAAGAGCACTGTAGTAGAACAGTGGAAAATAGTGAACAAATAGATATAGCATAACAATGTCTGGTAGTGATAAGTTTGGAGGAAAAAAAACAAGCAAGAAAGAGCATGGAGAGTGACTGGTGCTCTTTTAGATGGGATGGCCAGAGAAATTCTCTGAGAAGTGGATATTGGAGCGAAGGCCTGAATTATGTATAGGAGTTGTAGGAAGGATGGGCTTTCCAGGCAGAGGGCACAGCAAGAGCAAAGGCCGTAAGGCTGGAGTGTGCTTGGCATGTGAGAGCTTTTTCAATGAGGCCAGGGTGGCTGCAGCTGAGTGAGCAAGGAGATGCATGAGCGGAATGAGGTCCAAGAGATCCTTGCAAAGCTCATTATCAAGTCCACCTGACACTCTAGCCTAGTCAGAATATATTTCCACCTTTCCTGGCAAATCCCACATACGTATCCCCTTAAGCAAGTCTAGACCAATTTTAGGCAAGAAAAAAATGTATTCACAACATTAACTCTTCCCCTCACACTCACAATCCTGAAGATATGAGGTGAGAGTATTTGAAAGAGTACACTAAGAGAAATGGCTAGGAATAACCCTATCAGGGGCTGTTAACCCAGAGTCTATTGAGCGTGCTTTATCAGAACCTGGGACTCCCATAGTTGTACACAAAATCATATTTACAGTTGTATGTTTGAAATTTTTTCTGGGGTGAGAGAACTCAAACTTTATCAAATTTTTAAGGTAGTCTATGATATTCCCAAAATTAAGAACCCCCAAAATAAAGAACTTCTGTGATTGACTCCTGTTATTTTTATACTTGAGGAAATAGAGTGGGAATCAAAATCACCAGTGATCTTGGTCCTCCCATGAAGCTAGGTTTGCTGAAGGGGTAACCATTTATGCTGTTTTTCAAGTAAGAAAAGAGAAAAATTTGCCTGTTAAAAAATAAATTGTCAAAGATGGTTTAGCCTAAATAAACCACAAGTCCCCACATGAATTTCACATGCAGGATTCCTGAGATTCGTACTGAGACTGAAACCCTGTAAGCAATGTCCCATCTCTCTCAGTTTTGTTTGCAGTGCATCATCCGGGAACAATCTCTTTCCTTTTCTCTTTTCCATCCTACTTATTTTGCAAGACAAACCTTTTGCTCCGATGCTACAGAACAAATCCAAGTCTACATATGCAGAAAACCTCCTCCCTGCTATCTCTTCTCTCCCATACTAAAGACCATTTCCCTCCATGGGTTTAAGTCTCCCCCCATATATGAGTCAGAGACAACCAGTCTGACTTTTGTACTAGTTATATTATGATGACCCCATCAGAAGCACCACTATCACAAACAGAATGGCAGTTAATATCATTGAGTCCATGTTTCTATGGTAAGTGCTTTACATACATTTTCTCATCTAATCACCAAACAGTCCTATAAGTAGGCATTACTATCAACTCCATTCCAGATGGGAAAACTGAGGTTAAGAAAGGTTAATTTATGTGTTCAGGGTCACACAGCTGATGTGGCAAAGCTGAGATTTAGCCCAGTTCTGTCTGACTCCAAGGCCTACCTGTGCTCTAAACCACAACTCCATAACGCTACCCTAAGACAACTAAACTATAATGGAGTCTGCTCACGTTGCAAAGCAATTTTTTCCGAAGTATAAATTTCACAGGTGTGCTACAAAAGATGCTAACATGATCAATACTTGAAAATGCAAATGCAATCATTATATTACGTTCACCTCAGAACACAAAAGCTTGATTGCATAAAAATGCTGCTTTTATTAGTAAACAGGAGAAGGTTGAAACTGTGTGCAGTTTTTATATTGCTTTATCACTACTGGTTTAGAGTATAAAAATTTGATCAAAGCAACTTCTTAAGAATTCAGTTTCATTTATATTTTCAGTCCTCAAACATAAGTATGGCAATGGTACATATCAGAGACATTAACGACACTTGTATAAAAATGGAATTGAATGTTGGCATTGTAATCCTCATTTTTTATCCAGTAGAATTTGGGGAAAAACATACTGAAGTGACTCTGGAAACCATAGCTTAGCAAAATGCCATAAAGCAAAATATTGCTATCTGATATCTGATATCAAGTGTTCAGGAATTACATTTTCAATAAAAGCATCTCTCTTGGGCTTCTAACACCAAAACCAAAAGTACAAGATTATAATTTTATGATGTGTGTCACTTAGAGAAAAAAAAGACTCACTTTTTTCTCCACTTACTTTGATGTTATCAAAACAAGTCATCACCCTAGTTGCTGCTCCTTTCTCCTTCATGAAGTAAGAGACTTAATAGGGGAAGATACGTCTGCACCAAAAAGGGTACTCTAGATTTTACTGGCAATTGGAAGGAAAGATATGGGTTATTAACTAATCCCCTCACCATCCTTTGGGTAGAAACCTCCTCAAACTTCTCTTTTAAAGAATCTAGTGAATAGTTCAGGAATGGTTCAAAAATGAGACTCCTGAACTGTGCTGGACCTGAGAGTGTCCAGACCAAGGTGGCCTTTGATCTCCTGAGCACTCATTCTCAGTGCAGGCGCCCAAACCCAGGTGTCACCCAAATCATTTGCAACTTAGCACTGGAAGCATTTGGAAGGATTTGTTAGAGAGCCGCAGTAATCAAGGACCATGGAAATCAGGTGCAGACACGTAAGTCAGAAAAACAGCTTTGAAAACTTGTATTTCTAATTTAGAAGCAGACTTTGTCTATTGACTGCTCGTGTATGCGCCTGATCGGTGGCAGTGTTCGCTCTAACCTAGCCCAGTGGGAAATTACTATCACCTTGGCTTGAAATCAGTCAAAATTCATGGAAATCGCCATATGGTGTGATTTCTGCTTTGTCAGGACGTGAGGAAAGAACACCCTTCCCAGATTATACCCACTGAGGGAGCAGCTTCTTATTGAGTTGCATCTGAAGGTAGAAGCGTGTTGCTAACTGATAGCTGATGGACTGCACTTGTAAAGGTCTCCTGTTGAACCGTCTCTTAATTTTTTAAGAAATGTAAATTCTTTAAAATATCAAGGAACAAAGTTATATTCTGATACATTTTCATTTGTTCTTCCTAGGAAAAAACAATTTCTCTTATAAGATTAGAAGTTGCCTCAAAATCACAGGTGATGGAAGGATTCAGTTAACTCACAGTGTCAACCAAAGAATGTCACCTTTCATGAATTATAGATTTTCTACAGTACTGTTTCATCTTAGCAGCCCACCTGAAGTGGCAGGGAGTTAAAAAGAAATTTCTCTTTAGTGTAGTCTCCTTTTTTTTCTTGATCAACTGCTTTAACTATATTCTATCAATTCCTAGACCTACTTTTTAAAAAAAACAATTGAACATCTCTGAAATGTGTTTCTTAAAATTTATATGTTCATTAAGTCACAGCATTTATTCTTTCTTAATTTGAATGAAGCATGGTATTTCCAAGGTTATTTACCTAATCTAAACCTCCATGTATCCTCAGACTTCCTTTCTTATAAATATCCCCAAAACTATTTTGGGACTCATATACCTATGATGTGAAGCAGAAATCTTTCTCGTAGCTGTGCTCAAAGCTAGCCAGCCTGCTGCTTTTCCCAGCATACAGGCTCTTCTCTATACAATCTATACTCTTTGCTCCTCACCTGGGGCCTTGGGCAGTGACAGACCCCTGCTGTGGCCTGACCTTATCTCATTCCAGCCCAAAGATGAGCAATTCTCACTATGTCATCTACCATTGATTACCACCACCCCAAATCCCACCCTCCCAGGCCTACCTTATTTTCAATATTTTTATTGATCTTTCCAAGGACATTTGATAACTGGAAATAAAGTAAAAAATGTAAGAACTAAAAAGAAACTGACAGAGAAGCTGTGAATGGGACACCCTTATAAAGGAGTCCTCAAATAAAGAATATGTCTTAAAATATCCAAGCCCTGGCACCACCTTGTATATCAATCATAATTTCTGGGATCTTCCTTGGCATTGCCGAGACTTTCTGGAGGATGGTTTAATGCCCCAAAATTAGATTAGGGTTGGCCTTGTGCCTCTACAATAAAATAAGCAAAAATTCCTCTTTTTATTCTCTAAATTGGAGGATGCAAACTGACACCGCCTAGGCTTTATATAGCTGCTTCCATGTTTATCTGGTTATTTTAGCTGTTCACATGGTATTTGAAAAGGCAAATTAGGCACTTGTTACTCCTGATTGTAGCATGAGCTGCTTAAGCAGCACCTCTAGTAAAAACATGGAAGTCGCGTGTAGAGGAGGTGGCTGGGAGAAAAGAGGCTGATATGTTGATAAACTAATAGGACATTTAACTTGGGAGGTAAGAAGTGAAACTAAAATGGGAAACCAATAACAGAACAGGGTGGACTGTCCATGGGAAGTCTCTGGCAGGGTGTTGGTACCAGGAAGTGCAGCAGGAGTTTAGGAGGCTGGAGACCCAGGCTCAAAAGACTTTCACTAGTGTGAGGTTAGAGCCACAGGGGACTATGAGGCTGCAGAGGCAGAGGGTGCAGAGAGAAAAGATGAGCACCAAGTCTAAAACCTGGGCGGACAGCCACACGTAGGAGATCTGAGGCAGAAAATAAATTCATGGAAGAAACAGGTATAACTGAGGGATAGAAATAGCAGGATATCACGTCACGAAACCTGAGGCAAGAGACACTCAGAAAAGGAGTGGTAAATGTTATCAAATGACAGAGAGGTCAAGGAGAGGAGCAGAAAAAAAAAAGAAAAGTGGAATATGACATTTGGAAGGTAACTCAAGAGGACACTGTCAGTAGCATGGGAGGGCAGAAGCCAGATTTTACAGGGTTAGGAAGTGAGTGTCTACAGAAGGAGACAGAGCCTGAAACTTCTTTCAGCAAGCCAAATGTGCTAGAAAAACTGCAGAGAACACAAGCCATGTTTGTAACTTTCTGTAATCACTAACCAGTAATATCATTTGTTGCATACTTGGTAAAAGGTACACTTATTTTGTCTCAGTACATTCTAGGAACCTTCTAGCTACATGTTTCAAAATTACCCCTTCTGTCAACATATTAATCAATCCACTGTTTGTGCAGCAAACATTCTTTATGGTCAGGATCAGGGCTTGGAAATTGACGCTTTTCTAAGGTCAGTGGCAACACTCTAGTTCTGGCTTCCTTCTTGCCACTCAGCAGCTGCCCTTCTAGAATTTACTGAAAACAATTCCCCTGCCAGAAACATTTGCCAGTGCTATATTTATTGATTTCAGAAAGCTGTGACAAACAACCACGATGCAGTGTGTAGTAAATTGTCAGAGTACAGTGTGTCACCTAAAGCTCTGAATTGACTTAGGTCAACACTGTCAAATCACCAGAAAACAATGGTTTTTGGGCACACCAAATCTGCCTTTAAGTTGCTCTTTTGGAGGGTCATCAAACTTCAAGCTTAATTTCATGTTAATTGTTCTCCAATCAACCAATTTTTTGCATGTGCACTGTGTAATGCCATGTTAAAATAAGCATGGGGACATTTGGCTAATATTATGACCCTTTTGAAGCCAGAAATTTACTTCACTATAAGGGCTTTTACACATCAGATTAGCAACCTCCTCTCTGCTAGCCATGTTATGTTTTATCTGCTATGTGTTTGCCCATTTAAAAATACTAATCAAGTTGAAAACCATGTTCACATAAAGACCTGCACATGGATGTTTATAGCAACTTTATTCATAATTGCTGAAACCTGAAAGCAACCAAGATATTTTTCAGCAGGTGAATGGGTAAACTATAGTACATCCAGACAATGGGGTATTATTCAGTGCTAAAATGAAATGAGCTATCAAGCCATGAAAACACCTAAAGGAAACTTAAATGCATGTTATTAAATGAAAGAAGCCAATATGAAAAGACTGCATACTGTATGATTCTAACTATATGACGTTCTGTAAAAGATAAAACTACGGAAAGAGTAAAAAGATGAGTAGTTGCCAGAGGTTGGGAGAGAGAAGAATTAATAGCCAGAGCACAGATGATTTTTACGGCAGTGAAGTTATTTTGTATGATACCATATTGGTGTATCCATGTCATTACATATTTGTCCAAACTCATAGAGTGTTGATACGGTTTGGATGTTTGTCCCCTCCAAATCTCATGTTGGAATGTAATCCCCAATATTGGAGGTAGGGTGTGGTAGGAGGTAATTGGGTCATGGGGACAGATCCCTTGTGAACATCTTGGTGCCATCTTCATGGTAAACAGTGAGTCCTCACTCTGTTAGTTCATGCAAGATCTGGTTATATAAGAGTGTGGCCCCTCCTCGCTCTCTCTGTCTCTTGATTCCACTCTTTCCATGTGACATGCTGGCTCCCCTTTGCCTTCTGCCATAAATATAAAGCTTCCTGAGGCCCTCATCAGAAGCAGATGCCGGCACCATGCTTCCTGCATGGCCTGCAGAACCATG
This sequence comes from Homo sapiens, assembly GCF_000001405.40. NCBI lineage: Eukaryota > Metazoa > Chordata > Mammalia > Primates > Hominidae > Homo > Homo sapiens. The sequence continues at coordinate 99,033,896 of NC_000006.12, forward strand.
AGCCAAAATAAATTTTTTTTCTTTAGAAATCACCCAGCCTCAGGAAGTTCTTTACAGTGACATAAAATGGACTAATACAAATGTACAACACCAAGAGCGAACTCTAATATAATCTGTGGACATTGGGTGACAATGATGTGTCAATGTAGGTTCGTCAGTTGTAACAAATGTACCACTCTGGTGGGGGAGATTGACAGTGAGGGAGACTATGCACATGTGGAGTCAGGGATCTATGGGAATCTGCACCATGCTGCTCAATTTTGCTATGAACCTAAAACTGCTGTTTTAAAAAGTCTATTTTTTTTTAAAGAAAGTACTACTCTAGTCTATTTTTTAAAAAGTATTTATAGTAGAAAAGATAATATAAAGTTGTCATCAGGAGAGGCAAGATAGCAACTCTGGACCATACAGTCATTTCCTTCAACAATGTTCTTCATCTTGAGTCCCGAGCCACATCTTTGCAAACTGAGAGCATTAGTTCTGTCTGTGCACCCAGCATTGATTGGACTCACTAATAAAGCTGATTCCTTAACTGGAGTTGAGCTTATGTTGATTGAGCCTGAGAAGATAATAAAGGAAATGCCTGTTTATTAGTTTGCCATAAGAAATCTAATTTTTGAGTGAATCAGGAATTCAGCACAGTCTTTCAGCACATTCTTCTATAGTAAAATTAATCTGGTGTAAAAGAACAGGAGACTTGGCGTCAGGTAGGCCTGGCCTTCACATCTTATCTGCCACTCACTGACTGCAGGATTCTGATCAATTAAACCCTCTATGCCATAGTGTCCAAATCAGGGTAGTTGGTGCAGTAATAGGGTATTTTTCATGAGGTTATTGTGATAAATAAATGAAGAAATTCACTTAAAATGTTTATGACAATAAAAGTAAATGCTCAATAAAAATTTACAACTACATGGAGACATGAATCATGATCAGATTATTTGGCAACAATGGAATCAGAGAAACAGTGGTTCAATAGAGAATCTTACTCCATCAGTATTTGCTTCTGTGTTATTTATCATGCATAGAAAGAACCTCCTCTACCCAGAGCTATACAATTATTCTCCTATATTTTAATCTAGTATTTTATGGTTTTATTTCTCACATGTAAATCTTTGCTCCCTCTAAAATATATTTTGTTTAAGGAGTCAGCTTTATTTTTTTCCTTAAATTGTTACTCAGTTATACCATTTCATCATATTTTTATCCTATTTTCTCTCTTGAAGGATAAATTTCTGGGGGTGGGGCATACTTTCGCACCATATTTGTTCTTTGCTGGTATGATATTCTTTTTCTAGGAATTCTATCTTTGTAACTTTGAAGTAAAGCACATATGGCTATAGTTTTAGGTGACTTTACAGATCAACATAACAAAGCTTCCTTGGAAAGGAAACATTACACTGGGATATCTCTCCAGTTAGAGACCACAGGTCAGCACAAACCCTGACATGTTGCTCTCATCACCTGGTAAGGGGCTTATTTCCACAGAAGACGGCTTGGTCCCATGAAAGGGGTAAAGGGCCAGGAGCGAAACACCTGAGTTCTCCTCTAGAAAATTATTTAATTTCTGAGCCTTAAGAGCTCTCATTTGTAGAATGAGTAAAATAATACCTATCCTTTTTACCTCTCAAGAGTGTATAAGGATAAAAATATATCATAGAAATGCCTGTGCTTGGAAAAAGCAGTATTTCCCTCCCACATAAGGGGGTGTTGTGGGCCATGTGAGGCTTAAAAAGATCTTTGACCAGCCTATGGGAAGTACCTTTTGATTTCCCCAAAGGGAAAGGGGTTGTGGGAAAAGGAATCTGGGAAATCAGGGTTGGATTTGGAAAATTTGGAACAATATTGGTATAGTTAGGGACTTTACAGGAAGTATGAGTGACTTTATCAGTATCTCCTGATTAGAAGTGACTGCAGCTATTAGACCTTCTGCAATGCCGGGGCACAAAGACTCTATATAATGATTGCAGATGACATACTTGATTTGCAGGCTAATGGAACCGAACCAGGGGAACTCCAGGCTGTGGCTTCACATCTTTGCCCTGCAATTAACCCTCCATTTTCCAAGTGACACACTCAAATACACACACACACTTCATTCACAATTGCTGTGGTGGCCATGGGCATATGTTGCTCAGGTCTCCCTTTAAGAGAAAACGAGCCCTGAGGAGTGTATGCAGCTTCTAGTTAAGACACCTTGGATCCACTTTGAAAACCTTTGGATCCACTTTGAGAACCTTTGGATCCACTGTGGTATTCTTGCTAAGGTCACGTTCTCTCCAGGTTGCTCCTAAATGATGATTGAGTAAAGAAGGGGAAATCAGCCCAGGAACTTATAAGGGAGGGACTCCCATAAAAGGAAAACCCCTATCCTCGCGGATAAGACTTTCTAGGCTCATTGCCGTCTGAGGCTCTCTTTCCTGATCCTCTTTCTGTCCCTTTCTCCATTCACAGGTGTCAGACATTCAACTCAAATTAATCGTGTCTCTACCAATTCCTACCCCCTCCCAGGTGTTTTCGTGAACAAATTTCTTGCACATCTAATTCTGTCTTGGTATCTACTTGTCTTAAGACTCTAACATGTCCACTCACTATTCCACTCCTAATTTACAGATATTTCTTCTCTCAGATTTTAGGAGGACGGCCATTACAGCGTAGGACTCAAGAGGACACCATTCACATCACAGTCTTTATGAGTGACATAACCTGAAGTTGTGCAGGACATTACTGTCACGGCCTTACACTGCAGCCCCGTTTGGGCAGGGGGGCGGGGGCAAATTTATTAAAATGGCTTTAATAAGGCATAAGCATCCCCCTAGATCTGGAATTCCTGCTCTGTTTCTGAAAAGCCTGCAGACCTTTTCTTCCAGAACAGTATGCTGCTCGAACATTTCTAAAGCACTTCAACTGGGGCTGTACCTACAGGATCAAAGCAAGCCAAGCGATTCTCACAGTGGTCAGTCTAATTGGCTGCAGTTGTTTCAAAGCCTTTGCAGTGGCGGCAAATAGTGCTTTAGGGCACAGGTCTGCGAGCTGCTTCCGTAAAGAACCAGATAGTAAATATTTTTGGCTTTGCAAGCTGCATAAAGTTTCTGTCACCACTACTCAAGTCTTCCATTGTAGCGTGAAAGCAGAGATAATACATAACACAAATGGGCATGGCTATGTTCCAATAAAACTTTATTTATGGTCACTAAAATTGGAATTTTATATAATGTCCACGTGTCACTAAAAAAATCCCTTGATTCTTTTTTCAACCGTTTAAAAATGTAAAAACCATTCTTAGCTGCAAGTCGTACAAAAACAGATGGCAGGCCAAATACAAAAGCAGGTGGTGGGCCAGATTTGGCCTGCAAGATGCATTTGCTGACCCCTGCTTTAGGTCAATCATTAGAGGGTCACTCCTGGGAGAAGATGAGTGAAGGATGCCACTGGGGCTAGACCGTAACTTTCTAGCCTAGTTTGGACCTTGAAGACACAGGATCAACCTTGATCAGAAAATGACTAGTTTGGGAGGAAGGGGAGAAGCTGTCTTTGTATTCCTTTCAGAGTTAAGTTTACAACTAGATCCTCTGCCTCACTGGCATCAAAAAGGTTGAAAATGTTGCCTGCTGGTTTCTTGCAATGCTCTGAAAGTTTTTAAAGATATATCCCTTGGGTGATTATATTTAGTGTGAAAAATCATACTTTATACCCCAAGATGGCTCCTTCTTTGTGGACAGCCCCCTGTATATATAACCTGCTACAGATTAGGGAACATTCTCCCATTGCATACATCAGACCTTTGTATTCCTCAGTATGTTGTTAGTTTGCTTGTTTTGGTTTGAGGGGGAGAAGGTTGTGTTTTTTTAGGAGTTACTGGGGGAAAAAAAGATTAAAAAAAAAGCCCCTTCACTTTCCACCACGTTTACTGAACTAATAAGCACTGCTATGAAAATGCAATATTCTGTATGATTTATTTGATCGCACTGTTCTCTGATGCCATATCTAATTTTTCCATCCTGACCTTTCCTAAGATTCTGCTGGCTCTTACATAGGGATTTAAGTAAAAGGGCAAAGCATTTTGCATGAATATAAAAACAGAGTAGGAATTCCATAAAATCGATAGAAGCAAAAGAAACTCAGGGCAATTAATGGCATTCATTGAGTCCACTTGCTCTCAGGGAACTTACTATCATACCCTACACAGCAAAACCCTGGAGAACGTGCTGTTTAGCTCTTCCTGGAAGAAAGAGGGCTAGAAAGAATCAGAGGAAACAAGGATGTCCACAGGGTGAAATCAAACATTTATTAGACTACTGTTTTTGGCCTTTCTAAGAGTAAAGATTTGAGTTGTTAGTAATGCTGTGCATAAGTGTGACCCAGCCCCTCCTCCAAAAAATAGTCTTTTCTACCAAATGCAAGCCCTACTCCAAAATTAAATCCTCTCAATATTAAGGATTTTACTACCAATAGCCATAAAAAAAATAGGAAATACTATAAACAAGAAACATGGGAAATTATAGAATTTCAGAAATGTTAGCAAGTTCAGACAATATGGTCCCATCCTATAATTCCTAATATCCTGGCCAAACTGAGTTGGTAGCTGGAAACCCCATTGGTGTCCTGTTCTGCTTTTGTTTCTGAAAGTGGAACTCCATAAAACTTATTCCTCCTCCATCTGACCCAAAGAGAAAGGTCCCGCTGACATGCTTCCTGGAATGAGGCTCATCTCAGACTCCTATACTAGTGTGAAGGACACAAAATAAATGCTCCTTTATTTCAAGCAAGTGAATTGTTCTTTGAGGACCTCTAGGTCCTATTTCACAAAAAGGGTTAGCTGTTAAGAAGACAGAGTGGTTAAGAACATAGGTTCTGGGATCCAAGTACCTAGGTTTAAATGCCATGGCTGCCCCTGCCTCATTCTTTGAACTTGGAGAAGTTTCTTGACCTCCATAAATATTATTTTCTCATCTGTAAAATCAGAATAATAATATAACCTAACTCCTACGGTTGTTTCAGTATTAAGAGCTAATCTATAATGAGTCCTCAATAAATGTTAGTAGGTATTACTATTGTTATTGTTATTTGGAGCCCTGCATACTCATGGTACCCACTTCAATTCACAGTCAATGAAGAGAAATGAGCCTCATACCTCTTCCTGAGAACCCATCATTTAGATTCAGTCAATACTCTGGGTTATCTAGTGATATTCAGTTTTAAGGGGCAAGCTGAGCTAAAAATCTATACATGAATATAGGTTCAAAAGTTGATATCTCACTTACATGCAGCCCCATAAATTTTCAAGATTAAAAAACCAGCATCATTACCTTCAAGAAGTTTTGTGGATTCACATCAGAATGCCAACTAGGAAATCAATATTTTAGCAACAGTAAAACCTGAAACAGTGGTCCCCTAAGGAGTGCTGTGAGGGCTGGGTGAAGCAGTATCTGAACCAGTTGTTTATTGGCTATGAAGATAATAGTCAACAAAGAAGATATTTATTAGAGGCTGCCATTATTTCTTAACAAACCAAGTCCACTTATGTTGAATTACGGAGATACCCACAGAAGCAGGATGATTAAAATAGTAACTGGACTATTTTACATTACAGGAATAAGTACTCACCATGATTTTGCTTATATGAAGACAGTTCCTAGGATAAAATTATGGATAGCTTCCATGAATTGTTTGAAGTTTGGACTTCTTGTGGAGGTTTCAGGTAGAGAAGTCATCTCTGCCCATCATAAGCAACTTTATTAATAACCATCTCATGTAACTCTGACACTCAAAAAAATTTCATAAACATATTCAAAGCCACTGTGTAGGAAAAAATAAAAGACATGAGTTCTAAAACAAAAAAGGAAATTTAAAAAGCCATTTGCAATTTGAAAGATTATACAAATGGAAAAACACAAGAAAAGAAATAACTGATACAGCAGCACATGGGTTAGGATTTAGGGGGCCATTTAAGAAAAATTCTGTATCTGCCCTGAGCACAAACCACACTTTGAGAGTTAAAGGTTTTCCTCAGTTGTGAACAATGCACATTCTAGAGCCTGAACTTGAGGGCTACTGAACCACAGAGATGGTATGCAGGTATCCTCAGAGGTGTAATCAATACTCACGTTCATATGCATCTCAGGAAATCATTTAGTTACCTTATTTTTTAAAACTCTGAAGACCAAAGCCATAGCCAATGTTTTAACCAGTTTCTAGCCACAGAAAACTGGCCCAAGAAACCATGTCTTCTGTTGTATTCTAAATTTCATTTGGGCCATATATGATTTCATTTAAGTATGTAAATAATTATTTTTAATTCCCTAATAAGAAGAAGCACAAATTTATCTGATATGATGAGCTCAGGCTAGACTCCTGTTTGGCTAGCTGTTTTCATGAGGCTGTAACTCCATCTCAGCAGATTGTTTTCCACATTTGTGCTCCCTTCCACCTACTGTTATGATGTTCATGGGAGATAATGTTGGCATCAGTACCTGGATTGCAAAGAGGATTCATCCAGGTACCGATGCCAACATTTCACCAAGTCATTTGCAAGATGATATATTCCTCCGATTAAGGGAAGTTTTGATCTTGAAGTTGCTTTCCAGATTCATGACTGCATGGCTTTTGACATATTAGTGGTCTCTCTGTTAGAAGACAGAATTTATTTACAGTAGCTGAGCCCTCATCACCACCAAACCTATCCTTCATAGCACTGGGGTCAATATCCAGTTGAATTTAAACACCCTGGGAAAAGTCACTTCAATATTATGATTGGATGATACACATGGACTATGCATTACAGAAAATTTTGATACTGCTCAAATTAGGGTCTAGATCCTTTTAAGCCTTTTAAATATGTTATGACTTGGAATTATTGTTTCAGTATTGGCCAGTCTCATGTACTTTAGAATATCAAGCCTGTAAATAGGAGATCAAGTTTCTTTTGCCAAAGACTCATCTTCTCCCTTTAGCTACTATTAATAAAACATTCTATTTTAATGTGAATTAACTTTGAAAAAGAGGTTGCAGCCCATAATAAAGGATTTTACCATGATGTGAAGCAAAATACATACTCATTATAAAAATCATAATAAAAGTAAATCCTGCATATCAAGGACTTGAGTGAATTGGAGCCATAAGACAAAAAAGAAGCTGATCACACATTTACTAAATATTAATTATCTACTGAGCCATGAAATAGATTAAAGTTCTAAAAATAAATATTAATGGAGAGTTTCTGCCAGTACTATCCAAGAGAATATATTTTAATAGTGAATATATCAAGTGAGAATTTCTTTTCCCCAGAATTAAAACAAGCTAAAACTTCCTTTTAAAAAGAAATCCTCTACTAGTTTGAATTAGTATAACCTCCGTACATTTGTTATCCTTTAAGCATTGATTATTTGGGACCTAGAAAGTCGTCCTAACCTTTCAGTCTTTTGAGAAAGCTCTATGCACAACCTTGTCAAATGCCTGCATGTTGACTTAGTTTTGATGAACATCTTGGTGACTTTAATAGAAAAATTTTGTATCCTAGCTTTTTCTCTATTACTTCATAGTGTAATTTTAGATAAATTCTTTAAAAGAACAATGGAAAAGATGTTTAAGATTCTACCATTTTAACAGATTTGTCATTCTGCTTCTTGATTTAACCACACACAAAAAAATTAACTCACACTTCTAGAGGTAATTACAAAATTTATATATTCATAGAAAACCAGCATACAAGTAGATGATATCACAATTTGATATTTATGAAATGCCAGTTTTCCATAAATATAGAAAAATCAGCAATTATCACTGGAGCTGTTTATTAACATTTGGAAGCCAATAAATAACAAATGGGCTCACTATTCATTAAAATTCCTCAATAATATAACAATCATTCCCATCTCAAAATAGTCCTATGTGATATCCATGTTTTGACTTCAGAGTTACTTACACTCGTCAGATTATATCTAAAATAATACTTGCTAACATATTCTTATTAGCCTTTTCCTATATTTTCTTAGATATTTACCAGCGTTAACTCTTTTTTAATTCCTGCATGTGTTTGTGTGTATGGTTAATGCAAAGCACAGTCGTTTGCTATCAAGAACCTGTCACATAAGCCAAGATTGTGGGGAAAATCCAAGAAGGAGTTAGCATGGATCTTTTCCATAACTAGAAGCTGTATGTAGGTGGAAGTCCAGCTAGTCATTTGGTTCATATGTTAAGAGCAGAGCTAGGTGAGAGTGTATGAGTGGACTGATCTGTGGAAACCCATCAGCATTTCTAGAAGAACCTCAGGGGCATACAGATGGGCACATTTATTCATTCACAATTTTAAGGAGGACACAAGTAACACGTTTTTTTTTCTAATTCTAAATGAAATACATATTTAATATGGAAGTGTTAAAAAAGTCATAAAGAACAAAAATTATTTATAATTCAGTAACCCATGTATTATCAATGTGAACATTTTGGAACATTTGTTATTCTTGAAAATGGTTTAGATAGTAAACTTTTGAATACAATGAGCCCATGTCCCATGATGTATTTTAAATGGGAGAATAATGATGTGTTTTCAGCTTGTATAAAAGTCCCAAACTTCTCTTTTATTGTTGTGTCTCTGCCAGGCTTTTTTATCAGGATAATGCTGGCCTCATAAAATGAGTTAGGGAGGATTCCCTCTTTTTCTATTGATTGGAATAGTTTCAGAAGGAATGGTACCAGTTCCTCCTTGTACCTCTGGTAGAATTCAGCTGTGAATCCATCTGGTCCTGGATTTTTTTGGTTGGTAAGCGATTAATTATTGCCTCAATTTCAGAGCCTGTTATTGGTCTATTCAGAGATTTAACTTCTTCCTGGTTTAGTCTTGGGAGGGTGTATGTGTCAAGGAATTTATCCATTTCTTCTAGATTTTCTAGTTTATTTGTGTAGAGGTGTTTATAGTATTCTCTGATGGTAGTTTGTATTTCTGTGGGATCGGTGGTGATATCCCCTTTATCATTTTTTATTGTGTCTATTTGATTCTTCTCTCTTTTCTTCTTTATTAGTCTTACTAGCAGTCTATCAATTTTGTTGATCTTTTCAAAAAACCAGCTCCTGGATTCATTGATTTTTTGAAGGGCTTTTTTGTGTCTCTATTTCCTTCAGTTCTGCTCTGATCTTAGTTATTTCTTGCCTTCTGCTAGCTTTTGAATGTGTTTGCTCTTGCTTCTCTAGTTCTTTTAATTGTGATGTTAGGGTGTCAATTTTAGATCTTTCCTGCTTTCTCTTGTGGGCATTTAGTGCTATAAATTTCCCTCTACACACTGCTTTGAATGTGTCCCAGAGATTCTGGTATGTTGTATCCTTGTTCTCATTGGTTTCAAAGAACATCTTTATTTCTGCCTTCATTTCGTTATGTACCCAGTAGTCATTCAGGAGCAGGTTGTTCAGTTTCCATGTAGTTGAGCAGTTTTGAGTGAGTTTCTTAATCCTGAGTTCTAGTTTGATTGCACTGTGGTCTGAGAGACAGTTTGTTATAATTTCTGTTCTTTTACATTTGCTGAGGAGTGCTTTACTTCCAACTATGCGGTCAGTTTTGGAATAGGTGTGGTGTGGTGCTGAAAAGAACGTATATTCTGTTGATTTGGGGTGGAGAGTTCTGTAGATGTCTATTAGGTCTGCTTGGTGCAGAGCTGAGTTCAGTTCCTGGATATCCTTGTTAACTTTCTGTCTCTTTGATCTGTCTAATGTTGACAGCGGGGTGTTAAAGTCTCCCATTATTATTGTGTGGGAGTCTAAGTCTCTTTTAGGTCACTCAGGACTTGCTTTATGAATCTGGGTGCTCCTGTGTTGGGTGCATATATATTTAGGATAGTTAGCTCTTCTTGTTGAATTGATCCCTTTACCATTATGTAATGGCCTTCTTTGTCTCTTTTGATCTTTGTTGGTTTAAAGTCTGTTTTATCAGAGACTAGGATTGCAATCCCTGCCTTTTTTTGTTTTCCATTTGCTTGGTAGATCTTTTTCCATCCCTTTATTTTGAACCTATGTGTGTCTCTGCACATGAGATGGGTTTCCTGAATACAGCACACTGATGGGTCTTGACTCTTTATCCAATTTGCCATTCTGTGTCTTTTAATTGGAGCATTTAGCCCATTTACATTTAAGTTTAATATTGTTATGTGTGAATTTGATCCTGTCATTATGATGTTAGCTGGTTATTTTGCTCGTTAGTTGATGCAGTTTCTTCCTAGCCTCGATGGTCTTTACAAATTGGCATGCTTTTGCAGTGGCTGGTACCGGTTGTTCCTCTCCATGTTTAGTGCTTCCTTCAGGAGCTCTTGTAGGGCAGGCCTGGTGGTGACAAAATCTCTCAGCATTTGCTTGTCTGTAAAGTATTTTATTTCTCCTTCACTTATGAAGCTTAGTTTGGCTGGATATGAAATTCTGGGTTGAAAATATTTTCAAGAATGTTGAATATTGGCCCTCACTCTCTTCTGGCTTGCAGAGTTTCTGCCAAGAGATCAGCTATTAGTCTGATGGGTTTCCCTTTGTGGGCAACCCGAACTTTCTCTCTGGCTGCCCCTAATATTTTTTCCTTCATTTCAACTTTGGTGAATCTGACAATTATGTGTCTTGGAGTTTCTCTTCTCAAGGAGTATCTTTGTGGCATTCTCTGTATTTCCTGAATTTGAATATTGGCCTGCCACATTCTTTACCATCACAAACTATTGCATTTTCTAAGAGAATATTTTTGAAAATCACCTGTTTTCTTCATCCTTTAGAAGTTTTGTGGGTTCGAGGTTTGCTATTATTGTGGTTATTTTCTCCCCTCTCAAAGGAACAGGATTTTAGATAGTCATATCTCTTGCCAAGGCTCCTTTCAACTGTGGGTAAGGGAGCTATTTTAAGTTGTCAGTTTCTAGCCAGTATGTTTTTAGGTACAGGATTATAGTTTTTGAAGGAAGAAAGAGGGAACAGAAATAAAACAGGTTTAGGAAGACTGTCTTCTTAGAAACATAGCTGTCAGTTATCTAACACTGTGTTGAAGAATTTAGGGTGAAAATAGAGAGAATGTGGTGGCGCACACCACCAAAATCGTGGACTGGAACAGCTCAGAGATCAGGTACTGAGCCCCTCTCAGCTCCACCAGCAACACCCACAGGATCTCCCCTTAAGTATTTACGGGCATGTGAATTCCTGATGCTGGCAATCATCCAGTGCATTTGGGTCATAAACATGAATTCTGGCATCATCTAATCTTAGAGAAGTTGGAAGAAACTGTAAAGTTCAATCATCCTAACCTACCTAATCCCTTCTACCTTGTCTGACAAATGATCCTTTAGCTTTTTTCTCCTCAAATATATTAACCATTACTATCCATATTTGTTGCCAAATATTTAGACAATATTTTAGTATATGTTATTAAGAAAAAATGTTCCTACAATCTCTTGTCTAGATTAGACTTTGGTATGTAACTATCTATTTAAAGACACATATAAAATTACAAGGTTTGCTCTATAACTCATTTATATCTACTTTATATCACAGACCTCTTTCTCTGTCAATAAATAAGTATTCATATATAGTCACAGTAAAGCCTGTATAGTCTGTCAATAGACCTACTATAACTTATTCAACCAATATTTTATTGTTGAATAAATATGCTATTTCATATTTTATGATATTTTAAACATTGAAATTATGATCATATGTCTTTGCAAACTTTTCCAGTTGTTTCTTTGAAAAAATTCCTAAAAGCTCAGCTTCTTCTTGAATTTTTCTAGTGATGGGAAATTGTATACATCCCCAGGCAAACTTTTTCATCATTGGACAGTTCCAGTTGAAATAAAAGCTGCTCCTGGTTCTTACAGAATAAGTCTAATTCCTCTTTTGGCTACAGCTATTTTTTTTAATGCTGTGTACATTTTATAGTCCTCTACTATTCAGATTTGGAAAACTAGGATGAAATAAATATTTACTAAACACCCAGAAGGTGATGGGGACAATTTTTTGTTTTGAGGATTTTTTTGTTTGTTTTTGTTTGTTTCCAGCTTTATTGAAGTATAAATGACAAATAAAAATGTATATACTTAAGGTCATACAATGTATATGCACATAGTGAAATGATTACATCAAGCTAATTAACATATCCATTACCTCACAGTTACCTTTTTTTGTACCTGTGGTGAGAACGCTTAAGATATATTCTCTTAGTAAGCTTCAAGTATGGATTACTATTAACTATAGTCACCATACCATACATTAGATCTCTAGATGTACATTCATCCTGCATAACTGAAACTTTGTACCCTTTGACTGAGTTCCCCCCATTCCACCCACACACCTGTCCCTGACGATCACCTTTCTACTCTCCACTTATATGAGTTCAACTTTTTCAGATTCCACATGTAAGTGATATCATGTAGTATTTCTTTTGCTGCCTGGCTTATTTCACTTAGCATAATGTCCTCTAGGTTAATCCATGTTACCACAAATGACAGGATTTTCTTCTTTTTTAAGGCTGAATAGTATTCCGGTGTGTGGTGTGTGTGTGTGTGTGTGTGTGTGTGTGTGTGTGTGTGTGTGTGTGTGTGTGTGTATGCATGTATAGAACACATTTTCTTCATCTATTTATCTATTGCTGGACAATTAGGTTGATTTTATATCTTGGCTATTGTGAATAATGCTGCAGTGAATACAGGAGTGCAGATATCTATTTGAGGTGCCATTTCCTTTGCAAATATACCCCAAAGTGGGACTGCTGGATCAGATAGTAGTTCTATTTTTAAATTTTGAGTAACTTCAGTTCAGTTTTTCATAATGGCTATACGAATTTACATTGCAATTTACATTCCCACAGAGTGTGAAAGGGTTCCCTTTGTCAACATTTGCTATCTTTTGTCTTTTTTATAATAATTTTAGGTTACCACTCTTTATGTACTTGATAACAGCTAAAAATTACTATTACTCAGAAATTATGTTTTCCATATTTCTTATCTCCTGTTGATCCTTCTGTGAACATGCCCTGGTAGTTTCATCTGACTTAGACATTTTAAAGTGAAATGTAGAGTTACATAAGTATTGCATATTTTCATATGTTTCTAATGTCACATAATTTCACCTGATATCTAAAATGATCCAAAAGATCATCTTCTATTTTTAGGTTTGGATGGATGTGACAGAGATTGTTAATTTTTTTCACTATCCATTCTCTCTTATCCCTTAGTAACAGAAAGGAGAATTATGAACAGATAGAATACTATATTTACCAACCTATTTTGCAGCTAAGTGTGGGAATATGCTTATGTTCTGGCCATTGGAATGTAATTGGAAGTGTTCTGTGGAACTTCCAGCTTGATGGAAATTGATTTAACTGGCATGAACATCCCTTTTGTTCTTTTCGTTTTTTATTTCCAATACGTGACGGCTGGTACCTCAGTAGCCCTCTTGGACTATGAGGTAATCTTGCAGTTGGAAATTAATCCCTAGGATGGCATAACAAAACGGTAAGAGAAGCCAAGTGATTAATAACCATAGCCTTCCATATCAGGCATAGTTGACTGCTTCCAGACTTCTTTCAGTTTTGAGAGAAATAAATTCCTGTTTCATTTAAGCCGTTGTTATTTCTGGCTTCTTTCAATAGTTTTTCTCATTTATCAGTTACTAATTGTTTGATGTAATTTCTATCAGAGGGGGAATATCCATTAGTGCTACTAGGGAATAATTATTAATTATTCTAGCTCTACCAGGCTCTTGCCTCAAAGGATGACAAATTCAGAGTAGATAAAAAGAATGACCTCATCAAAAAAGAAAGTCATGTAAAGTACATATACTCAAAGCATATACAATCATATTGGAGAGAAATTTCTTGATTTATGTAATAATCCTAATAACCTTGTATTCAACTAATACTTCGGTATATACTAAGCACTCATAAAGTTTATCATATATTTGATAGTTTACATTTGATAATGATTGTGACTACATTTTTGGTAACTTAAATTCCTCTCACTCCTTTTTAAAAGTAACAGAAGTAGGATGGTTTGGCTATGACAAAGACAAAGGTTGAAGTGAATATGACAGAGATAAGCTGGGAGAAGAAAGGATCTGATATTTAGGACCTCACTGGTCTTGTATGAATGTATGCCTATTTCTTAGAAGGCAATGAGAATGAGAAATACAAGGGAAAAGAAAGATTCAGATGAGGAAGAAAGAGGAGAAAATAAAAGAGATGAAGAGAAACTTTCTACCTATCCCCTGACTCCAAAGGCTATGCAGCTACGAAACCTTTGTTCTCCTTTGTCTTAGTTCCCTCCTTTTTGCTTCTTCCTTGGCCCACAATAAGACACAGTTGTGGGAAAAAAAATCTAAGGGGCAATGATTGAAAGTCTTCAACAATCAGAAGAAGACTCAGGATGAAAGGGAATGGAAGAGCAGCCACAATCTTCTCATGGTCAGAGAGAACTCGCAGAGTTCGCCATTTGCAGCAATTGTTATATATATATCTCCCTGGTATGATTTCCATTTTAAATTCCTTTTCCTATTATGCAAAAAATTGAATGATATTAACATAAATAGTCAATTTAAATGTAAGATAACAATGATGAACATAATTCAAACAGCAATGTCATAAAGCTATTTTAAATTAACTTTGTAAAAATAGGTTTAAATTTTATTCAATGTATACTTTAATAGGGTTCCAAATTCCTTCAGAAAACAACTATGGAAGTTTTGAATTTGAGGGTAAGCTCGAATCACTACTAAAGAGCTGTCAAGAGAGCAATTATAAATGAATTTTAATGGCATTAATGGTAGTCATTTCCAGCTGGAAAACTTGTGGGAAGAGAAATGTTCATCTTTTTCTCTAAAAGTCAAGAAAGACAGCATTTTACCCCAACACCATGGGATATGGTGTTGGGGTAAGGTTCTGTCTTTGGTACAATTACTACTTCTGTTATATGAAAAAGCAAAGGAAGAATGATAAGGGGGAGCAAAACCAAAGGAAATTATTTCCTTGGAAAACTGATAAGAAGGTATTCACAGAAATTATCCCAACTAGAGTACCCATTTAGCAAACACAAAATCAACAATGATACTATACACCCGATGTAGCCCAAGAAGATTTTATATGCCTCAAGAAGGATTTCAACTGTGAACTAGAAATCAAGGTAAATTGGATGACAGCTTTCATTCAGGGCATAGTAACTGGAGTTTATCCAAGAAATTTGCTAGTAAGAATTATTTGCTTCACAATTAAATGTGTACTAGGTTTACTTATTTTAAATATGTGGAGATAACATTTTTGTGATTATTTAAAATGTTTAGGATGAAGAAGGAAGCAAAAAAAACCTTTGTTCTCACTGTTAAAGAAACAATAATAACAAAATCAGGGAAAATTAAAAATTATACTTGTCAATGGGGCTAGCAAAGAACAGAGGATGCAACGAAGCCTGATTAACTCAGTTCCAGGGAAACAAATACTTCATAAGTGAGAAAAATCTCCAGGGGCAGCTGTCTGATCTGTAGGGAATCAATGGAAAATTTGCCATAGATGAAGAGACTGCAGGGACAAAGACAGTCTGGGCTGGCATAATGGATTAGAATCTGGAATACACCCAAAGGCACAGTGCTTGAAAATCCTTCTCTCTCCATCCTTAACCCTAGCCTGAATCCAATAAACAAGATACTAGAAATTAGAAAGAAATCACAGAGTCTTCTTTGCATGTGGATTCTTGAGCCCTGAAGATATGAATCCAAAAATCAATCAATAATATCTGAAACTGTAGCCCAACGTTCTCCCCACTTAAATACTGACAAGATCAAAAACAAAGTGCTAGCACAGGATTTTGGGGGTTGGGCTAACTACAGGTGATCTTAATCTAATCAACGCTGCAGCCTGACACAGGCTCCACTCTGCTCTCGGAGAAATCCAAATGAACTGGCCTTAGCCTAACCACCGAGAAGAAGGGGTTTGAATATTCTGGGGAATCAGTGAAATGAAACATAAAGTTTTTCCTCAGTCTCCACTGTGTAATACATAGTGTTCAGAGCACAGTACAAAATGATGAGACTTGAGTAAGTAGAAAGACATGAATCATATTAAAATAAAACACAGTTGATAGATATTGAAATTAGCAGAAAACTTTAAAATAACTATTATAAATATACTAAGGAATACACAGGAAAACATGGATATAATGCACAAAGATAGATATCTCAGAAAAAACAAAAACTATTTTTAAAAATCAAAGGGAAATTCTACAACTAAATAATGCAATATTTGAAACTTTTAAAATGTAATAATTTTTAAAAAATTGGATAGGCTTAATAGCAGTGTGGACATTGCAAAAGAAAAGATTCATGACCTTGATGATAGGTTAGTAGAGATGATTCATATCGAGTCAGAAAGAGAAAAATGATTTAAAGAAAAATAAACAGTGTAGCAGTCACTTACCGGGTATCAAATGTACTAATACACATGTACTTGGAGTCCCAGATTTATTGGCATACAAACCGTTCAAAAATAAAAATTAATTGGTGCATGGGAATGCCGTGTGCGTGTGTGTAGGTGTATTTTAAGGAGGGAAGTAAATTTGCTATAAATCTATAATTTAAAAAAATGAAAAGAAGGAAAGAAATGAAGATGAAATGAAGAATTTTTAGATAAATAAAAGGCAAGAGAATTCTGCAGCAGTAGATCCACACTATAAGAAATGTTTCAGGGAGAAAGGCAATGATATTTGATGGAAATACAGATCTACACAAAAGAAGAAAGAGGGCTAGAAATAGTAAATATGTGAACACATACAACAGATTATTCTTCCCTTTTCTCAATTCTTTTAAAAAACAATGTATTGTTACAAGCAAAGACAATAATTAAATTTATGGGGTTTATAACTTATGTAGAAGTCAAATGTATGTCAACAATAGCGTGATGGTTAATTTTATATGTCAACTTGTCTGGGCTAAAGGATGCCTAGATGGCTGGTAAAGAATTATTTTTGGGTGTGTCTGTGAGGGTGTCTCTGGAAGAGATGAGCATTTGAATCGGTAGACTGAAGAAAGAAGATGCCCTAACCAATACAGCTGGGCATGTCTGAGAAGAACAAAAAGGAGGAAAGAAAAATTTGCTCCTCCTGTTTGAGCTGGGACATCTATCTTCTCCTGCCCTTGCACTCCTGATTCTCCAGCCATTAAACTCAGACCACTACTTACATCATCAGCCTCCGTCCACCCCATTCTCAGGTCTCTGGACTCCAACTGAATGACACAACTGGCTTTTCTGGTTCTCCAGCTTCCAGATGGCAGATGATGGGACTTCTTGGCCTTCATTATCAAGTGAGCCAATTCCCATAATAAATATATAACTATATAATGATAGATAGGTAGATAGATGATAGATAGATTTTTAAAAAATATATCCTATTAGATAGATGATAGATTTTTAAAAAATATATCCTATTAGATAGATGATAGATAATAGATTTTTAAAAAATATATCCTATTAGATAGGTGATAGAGAAATAGATTTTTAAAGATATATCCTATTAGTTCTATTTCTCTGGAGAACCCTAATACAAGCAGAAAAAAAAGAAAGAAGCAAATATACTCAGTAAGACTAAAGGCCTGAATAACAGTATCTGAACTGGCTCCAAGGACTGGCATGATTAGTGATAGAACAGTGAGTTTTAAGGACTGCAACTATCATGTTAGGTCAGAGCTGCATTATCTTAACAGGTTAGAACACAAATATTTGATGCATCTTGACATATTTGCTAACTGTCCCACCTCTCAGATAGTAGAATACACAATAAAGGAAATTATGACCCTGAAATTAATCATTATACCAATAAGGTAACACTTGTTCGTGAATTGAAAGTGACAGAAACCTTGGAATACAATGACATTCGTGATAATAACAGACATGGAAACACTGGATGGTCAGCACCATCGAGGCCATGGAAATGTGGGCTTCCGACCAGCAGCAACGGCCTCATCTGAGAACTGTTAGAAATGCAAAATCTAGAGCCTCAACACAGGTATATGGAATTAGAATCTGCACTTTAACAAAATCCCAGGTAATTCCTATTCAAATTAAAGTTTGAGAAGCACTGTTCTAGAACGCTTTTTAAAATTCAGATTCCTGGGTTCCCCAAAAGAACTGTTGAATCACTCACTGTTGGTGAAGACGATACTTAAAATAGGAATATTTGGTAAGCTTCCAGGTTCTTCTCTATGCATTAACATTTGACTATCAGTCATAATAGTAGAATTTTCCCAGGTGAATTCATTAGAACATAGTCCTTCAAGATGCTCCTTGAATAAAAAAGAGTTACAAATTAAAATATATGTCAGAAACCCTACTATAGCACCCTTTGGAAATTGCATGCTCTGAGAAGTCTTTCAGAAAAAAAGTGCCTGCAATTATTTGAATCAATGTTTCTTAGATGTAGACAATCATGGAATCTTTTTTCTTTCCTTTTTTGCTCACCCCTACAACAACAGAAACTCATGAAAGTTTCCACTGAACTTTGTTTTCATATAGGCCTCACTCTGGGAAATGTGACCTGAGGTTTGAATATGCCTGGCTTCTGAAAGCTTAGAGAAAAGTCAGGAAGGAGCCCCATGACTTGAGACTCCAAAAGGCAAGTTGAATCAGAACTCAGAACCCAAAATATATATAATTGGATGAGTATCACAGCAGATTGTGGCAATGCACAGGAAGGAGGGGAGACAGGACTTCTCCTAGATGCTTGAACTCTGAAAGATGAATCAAAGGGCATTGGAATAAGGATATAATTTTAAAGATAATGTTATCACAATGGGTACTAAAGAGGCCGAGGCTTGCAAAAATGGTTAAGGACAACTGTTGTGTAGTGATTAATCTGGAGTCATAGAGAAAGGGAGGAAGCATGTGCTCTCATATTGGCTCTGCCACTAGCCAGGTGTGGGGCCTCCCATGGACCTTATCCAATGAGGGCTGAACCTCTAAACAAGAAATCTGAGGTCACATATCACTCAGCTCTTCCTGTTCTTGATTCTCAGTGCTACTTCAAATCATACTCAAACCCATCACACTTTTTCCCTCCTTACAGAACTTTTGTAGGAATCAACACCAAAGGGGCTAGATCCTTATCATGTCTGGAAGTTTGTAGCCCCATCTACAATCATAAATCGAAACAAAGATTTAGGTAGATTGATTATGTGTCTTCTCACTCTACATACCTCCATGAGGTAATTTCTTTTGTAGCTGATTCTCTTCTTTCCCCCTGCAAAAGGAAGATGGATTAAAGTTACATTACAGAAAAAGGATACTTTACAACAGTTCATAAAGTTGAAAATCTGCAGAACTAGAACTTTTGGAACATGTTTAAAAGCCTGCAATGCTATTTCTAAAATTGGAAAATAGTTACATTAGCCTCAGTTCTTGCATTTGAGATTTTGTAATGCAGCGGATAACCAAACTGTTTATTTCATTAATTTTGTGGGAACACCAGCACCATAGTCATGAAGTAACAACAAATAAAAATGGAAACAGTGAGACCTAGTAGAAGTTCTGCTGTGAGATCATATGCTACGACACAGTCAATATATAAATTCAGCATATGTTTTTTCAACTACCCTAAACAGGCCCTGATTCCACATATTTTACACAGGCAAAAAACCTACATTTTGATAGCACTTAATAAATATGTACTCTTGTTGTCAAACAATCTCCATAATTATATGAAACACAAGTCACAAAATAATATGATTTTATTGCCATGCTAACTAATGAATGAAATTACACAAAAAATAATATGCTACATATTTTGATGGGGGATTCAAAACAGAACTCAGACTATTAGAACTGCAAGAAAACCATTAAAAGTTAATTGAGCAGGATTTGCAAAGTGATGGCCAGTAGTCACATACTAGCCACCCATACCTTTATTTGGCTATTATTTGTTTGAGATGAACAGTGTTGTTGAAAAGGCAGTGCAACTAGTAAATGCTACAGTTGGATTGTTATAAAGAGCTTGGCCCCCGTTGTCCTACACCCAGCCTTATTCAATATTTACATACTTGACCAAACTTTTCAAGCATTTGACTTTGCAACTCTCCTCTCTAGCCAAAATTTTCTAAAGTAGAAGGGACATTAGAAATTATCTAATTCAATGAACTCACAGATGTTGGTGGACCTACGAGAGTTGTGAACTTCTTACAATGATAAGCCAAGACAGAGTTTTTTCTTCAAAAGTAACTAGTATCTACATCACCGTGATATCATAAAATAAAGGTTATTTTTTTCAACAAAAACAGAACAACCATTTCCGAGAAAGGCCACTTCAGCCAGGTGTGGTGGCTCATGCCTGTAATCCCAGCACTTTGGGAGGCCAAGGCAGGCGGATCATCTGAGGTCAGGAGTTTGAGACCAGCCTGGCCAACATGGTGAAATCCCGTCTCTACTAAAAATACAAAAATTAGCTGAGTGTGGTGGCACATGCCTGTAATCCCAGCTACTTGGGAGGCTGAGGCAGGAGAATCGCTTGAACCCAGGAGGTGGAGGTTGCAGTGAGTCAAGTTTGTGCCACTGCACTCCAGCCTGGGCATCACAGTGAGACTCTGTCTCAAAAAAAAAAAAAAAAAAAAAAAAGAGAGCCCACTTAGCAAATGTAACAAATATATAACCATGTTAGATGTAACATTATCTTGTTTTTTTCAAATTTGCCACTGACCAATGAAAACTTCCTCATAGACTGCCATTGGCCCTCAGACTGGTGTCTGGAAGCCACTGACCTGGCGTTCATTTTGGAAATGAGGATATGGTTTTGTGATGTTCCCAAAGTCATGGGGCTGAGAAGAGCCAAAGACAGATTCATCGTCTTGCTTTCCAGTGCCAAGACCAAGGTTCTTTTACTTCATCAGAGCCAGAAGGCACTAGGTCATAAGGCTTTTCTGGAGCCAGATAGAGCCCAGTAAAATTCTGGCTCTGCTGTACAATCTTGCTCAAGTTAATAAACTTCTCCAAATTCCTAGCCCAGTGCTTTCTGCACTGGAGAACGTCACTTATTTGAGTTCTTTGTCTCTGTCTTCTCATTCTTCTAGCATATAAGTCACTGCATTTGACACACAATGTCCCAGTTAACTCTACAGGAAGTGTAATATCAAAGTTGGTCAGATGTTGACTGGTGACACTTACATTTCCCTTTGTAGCCCTCACAAAGCCAGGCCTGCTTGCTCTCTCCCCAAGGAACATCCCAGAAAAGAGCTGTGGGCTTGCAGTACAGAAAACAACCTGGTAGCCAAAAAATTAATTGGAAAACAAATTAAGTCTTTACTGTCATCTCCTGGAAATGCCAAAAAAGGATTCATAAACCACAGCAAATCTTTTCAAAATCCTCTTTCCCTATCCACACCCATGCCCCCACAGTTGCATGCATATCCTTCTTGCCAGAGCTGATCCTAATGCTCTTCCCTCTTCTGAGCTCTCCAAAACCTACCGTCCAATTCAGCCAGAACAATCTTTCCAGCTTATATTTTTCTTTTTGCTCCCTTTTTCTGGCTTTCTTTTTCTCTCTTCAATGAGTAACTCTCCATCTGCAATATAAATCCCATTAACCTGCTTTCTTCTTTAATTTCCTACTCATTCCTTGCTCTGATTTGCATTATTAGGCCAAGATTTGTGCTCCTTAGGAGCTGGTATGGAGGGGAGGTAGATAATCATGATTTAACCACTGATGTCCTTGCCATGTATTTATTGATCATGTATTTATGCTATAAAAATACTTTTTATCCTCAAATATCTTTACAATTCATACTGGAAAATATATATGAAATAATATTATTTTCATTTTATAGAGTAAAGAACCAAATAAAGAAGGGGAATAATTGATAGCTTGAGGTCATATAAGTCATTTGAACAAAACATATGGAAACAGTTTCTTTATCTTTGTTCAGAGACTAGTCTTTGAAAAAAATTTCAATGGTAAATATTTGTCAACAGAAATACTTATTGAGAGCTTACTACACTGAAGGCACCATTCTAGATGCTAGGAAAATTGGGATGAGTAAGACAGAGAGGATCCCTATGTTCGTGAAGACTGTGATGGTTAATACTGAGTGTCAACTTGATTGGATTGAAGGATGCAAAGTATTGTTCCTGGGTGTGTCTGTAAGGGTGTTGCCAAAGGAGATTTGAATCATTTGAATCAGTGGACTGGGAGAGGCATACCCACCCTCAATCTGGGTGGGCACAATCTAATCAGCTGCCAGTGCTGCTAGAATAAAAGCAGGCAGAAGAACATGGAAGGACTAGACTAGCTGACTCTTCCAGCCTACATCTTTCTCCTGTGCCAGATGCTTCCTGCCCTCACACATCGGACTCCAAGTTCTTCAGCTTTTGGCCTCTTGGACTTTCAACCATAGACTGAAGGCCGCCCTGTCGTCTTCCCTACTTTTGAGGTTTTGGAACTCGGACTGGCTTCATTGCTCCTCAGCTTGCAGATGGCTTACTGTGGGACTTCACCTTGTGATCATGTGAGGCAGTACTCCTTAATAAACTCCCCTTTACATATACATCTATCCTATTAGTTCTGTCCTTCTAGAGAACCCTGACTAATACAAAGACCTTTATTATAGTTGTGGTGGGTAGGAGGGAGGAAGATGGTCTAGCAGAGGGATGGAAAATGAATGAATACATTTTCAGATGAGAGGTGCTATAAAGAAAATGGAACAGAGTGATGTGATGGCCAGTAGTAGGAGTGGGTGGGCTGGTGGCTACTTAAATCTGTATGGACAGAAAGGCCTCCCTAAAGAGAGAGATGAAGGTTTGGGGTCAGATCATTACTGACAAGAGCAACAAGTGTGAACATTCCTAAGACCTGGGAAAAGAGGACATGTTGAAGGGGGAGTGAGCTTAGTGCATTTGTAGAACAGAAAGAAATCAGGTGGAGACATGGAGTGAGGTGGGCAGTGAACACAGTAGAAAAGGTAGCCAAAGCACACTTCATGTTGAGACTTACAGGCCAGGGCAAAAAGTTGGAATGTATTCCAAGTTTAATAGGAAGCAACTGGAGGACTTTAAGCATGGGAGAAATATGATGATTGTGTTTTGTAAAGATCATTCCGATTGCTATATTGAAAAAGGATTTTAGGAAGGCTGCTTAGGAGGGTATTGCTATGAGCTAAACAAAATACATAGATTGCTTGGACAAAAGTGATAGCAGTGGAGATAGGGAGAAATGCATAGATTTAGGACATATTTTTAGGTAGAGCAGATAAAACTTGCCAAGAAACTGCAGGTGGAAGCAACAAAAAGTAAAAGATAAGTGATGATGCCTAGGTGTTTGCATCTAGCAACTGGTGAATGGAAAGTTGGCCATTTCTTGAGATAGGAAAGACTGATTCAAAATATGGAGAAGGGTCAAGTGTGGTGGCTCACACATGTAATGCCAGCACTTTGCAAGGCCGAGACGGGCAGATCACTTGAGGTCAGGAGTTCAAGTCCAGCCTGGTGGAGGTTGGAGTTCAAGTCCAACATGGTGAAACCCCATCTCTACTAAAAATACAAAAAAATTAGCCAAGCATGGTAGCACACGCCTGTAATCCCAGCTACTGGGGAGGCTGAGGTGGGAAGATCACTTGAACCCCAGAGGCAGAGGTTGCAGTGAGCCGAGATCTCACCACTGCACTCCAGCCTGGGTGACAGAGCAAGACTCCATCTCAAAAAAAAAAAGGGAAAAATCAAGGTGCTTTTTTTTTTTCACCTGTATTAAGGTCAAGATGCCTTGACAGGCAGGTAGAGATGTTCAGAATGGCATCTGTGAGTCTGTTGTGGTTAAGGGTTAGCATGTTGCTTTCTTTGCCCAGAATACCTTCCTCCCTTTCTTTAGCAATTTCCTACTCATCCTTCAAGCGTCAGTTCATACGCACCTCTCTGGACAGTTAGCTTCTCTCTCCTTGCACGTCTCTTTTATCACTGATCATGGGAAAAGTGGATGGTTTCAAGAGCCATTTAGAAAGGTAAAGATCAATAGGCTGTAGTAATTGTTTGATATTAGGGTGTGAGGGTGAGCAGGTGTCAAGTGACTCCCTGAATTCTGTCTTGTCTAATAGTGTGAAGAGTGGTGCCATTCACTAAGCTATAGAATGCTAGAGGAGAATGACATTTAGGAGGATGAAAGAAGAACCACAAGTACCATCCATATTTACAACATTGAATTTAAGGTATTTATGAGACAACCATGTGGAGATATGGAATAGGCAGCTGGATATTGGGGTCTGTCCCAGAGAGAGGTCACTGCTAAAGGCATATTCAGAGACATTAATTACATAGTAAAAGGAGCAAGGGCAGGAGTGAGACCTTGTAAGAGACAATTGGTGTAAGGAGAATAGAGCTTAGGACCAAGTATTGAGGAGCTCAGACATGTAAAGTCCAGCAAAAAAAAAAAGATAGGTCTGAAAAGATAATTCATGAAAGAGCATCCGGGAAGATAGGAAAAGAACTAGGGAAATGTATACGGAAACCAAGGAGAGACAGCTTTTTGAAAGAGAGATTAGTCAACAGTGTCAGTACTGCAGAGAAGTATCTAGTAATCATTCAAACCTATTAGTCTACCAGCATGTAGGGTGTGCTGGAGACACGCTGCACTACTACAGAGCCAGTCTTATGCATCTTTTCCCAACCCCACGTTCTGTGATATCATGTTCACAGTTTGAATGGGCGATGGTGGGGTGGGGTGGGAGCAGTATTGACACCATGGAAATCAGCAAATACCACAACTCAGGGCTTGCTGTTTCCCACCTCTCTACCCCAGAAAGCTAGTTATTAAACATTTATGAACATACCATTAAGACTGCACTTAAGAATCACTGGAGAACTTTTAAATATACCAGTGCCTAGGCTCCATTCCTAGACACTTTTTATTTACTTGTTCAAAGGTGGGCCCTGGGTAGTGGTATTTTTAAAATGCTTCCTGGGTATTCAGTTATGTAGCTAGGATCAAGGACCATTAATTCATAAGGAAAATAAGAACCATGTGATGTGTTTGGTACTCACAGAATGTCATATCAACTTCTAGGGAGCAATAAAATAATTTACTTGATAGGAAATAGTCCAGGATGCCAGCTAAGCAGGACTGGAGGTTACACAGATCTGAGCGGGCATAATGTTAAACCATAGTTAGAAGAGAAACAGGAAGCAACTACTATAGGTCTATGCAAGCATGGTTCAGAATCTTTTCAACAGTCTTCTTGCCACAGAATAAAGCCTGAAAAAGAGGCCAACTCACTGAGGAGAGTAAAGCCTAGCTGAGTGACAAACAGAGATCCGCCTATAAACACTGTCCAGATGTCCCCAAAAGCCAGCCCTACCCCTGGGCTTTACACAAGCCAATAAACTCCCCTCACACTTTGAGACCTTCTGTTACTTGCATGAAAGAGACCTTTCTCAGTCAAGGTATAAGCTGTGACCTCCGTCTTCACCTTGTTCTATTATTGAGAAGGGAATCAGATTAGGAACAAAAATGACACCTACCTATGGAATAGATGATCAATAATAATTGCAATTGTTGATTTGCAATGTCAGAGAAAGACCCTAAATATTTAATATTCTTATCCCTTCCACACATGAATCACAAATTTTTTGGTCTTAAGTTGACAACATTTCCTATTTATTTATAAATAAATATCTGTGACATTTATGTTACCTAAAACGAAGAGTACATACAGAATTCAGATTTTACCCTAGGAGGAAGTAGAAGTTTTAAAGGAAATTTAGTCAAGTATTTTTATTTTGGATAAATGGGATGACCCAATGAATGGAGAAATCTACATGCTATTCGTACTCCTGCTATGTCTCCTACAAAATTCAAAAATCCCATAGTCCGTGTTTCTTTTAGGTAAATATTTATAGCTCATGTCAAGAGGAGTGAACAAGGCAGCTTAAAAGATCCCTTGTACTGCTTTCAGAACTCAAGGCAATTTTAAAAGAGGTAAGTGGAAGAGAAAAGAGCCTCTTAACCAATTAGCCAAGAGGCCACACAATACTTTGGAATTAAAATTACCCAGACATGTGTGAGGATCCAAATGGAGTCTCATTTATGTCATCAAAGAGATTCTACTCCTATTGAAATGAATAAGAGGTTAACAGTTTCAATGGTACAATAATAAAATGATTAAGGTTACACAGAAGTACGTAGGACCAAAATTCCTCCAAGTGGTGGAGACTGTTAATGAAGCAGAAGAATAGCTTTTTACCTGGTCTATTCTCCAATTCAAATGACTCCCATGGGTAGTATTGTATTATAAGAAGAGAGTTTTCCAACTGTGTGAATTTTCTTTCGTCTTGTTCACAGGTAGTATATATTTGGTTTAATGTTACAAAAAGCTATATTAGCCTAAGTCAACACACACATTAACAGAACCTCCTAACTTCTGCAGATAAGTTTTTCAGAGTTCAGAGGGCAGTGATAGAAAAATTGTGATAACACAGGGAGAAATAAGTCCCTCTTTCTAAAGCTTTAATCAGTACTGGGAAAAATAATATCATTTTCCTAACCACAAAAAAAGCTATAAAACTTATGTGATTGGCTCATTATTTTTAGAATCAAATTTTATTTCTTGTCATATAAGCAGCTCTTCTGATATTTTAGGTGAAAAACAGAGCAGTGTAGATCAAGACTTAAGTCTATGCAAGATGTCTTATTGATTATTGGACATAAGACAATTCTAAGTTTTTTCTCCCACAGGATGTTAAAAATGTGAATGACTTCAAGCTGCTCTAAGAATGGAATGTGTTCATAGAATTTAATATTCCCTTTTGTAGATATTACAAAAGACTCAGGGACTTTGAGGAAAATAGCTGCTTTGCTTCTCTCTTTTGTATGTTTTTTCGGTTTTTGTTTTGGAAAAGTTGGAGGAAGAATATATCTGCCTCAGTCAGATTTTGTTGGATGTTTCTCAACTTTTATTTGTGTTACTATTCCCCTTAGGAGAAAAATTTTATTTTAATCAATGAATTTAAATTACATAATTTTAATTAATTGATAGATTAAAAATTAAATTTCTCCCTAATGAGAGGAATTAAGTACTACAGCTTAAGATTTTGTTGGGCAGGGTTGTGCTTTTGAGGGCAACAAACTATTGTCATATCTAAGATTATTTTCACGTCCCCTCCCAAGAACTAACTTCACCCTTTGGGGTGGCTTAAGGCTTGGACACCCATTCTAACTAAAATAAAATGAGGAGTTTGGGATCCTTATAAACATCCTAGAGCATCTGCCACAACCAGTTACAATAATTACAACCAGGCTTCAAGGGAACTGCAAAGGGGTACAGACAACAGCTAGCCTCATCATCTCTTATCTGAGCTTTTTCTAGGCCTCTTTTCCTGTCTTCTCTTAGTCTGAGCAAGCAGCCAGTCAAACGCCAGATGCTCACAAATGCTCTGGAATCAATAGCGTACATCGTATTGTTCCATCCCTTATTTTTCCACTGGAAAGGGCAACACTCTCACCAGGAGTGTCATCCCAAACCTGGCTGCCCAAAGGGATCACAGAGGGAACTTGCTAAAATGCAGATTCCTCTAGATTTTGATTTATGAACAACACAATGCAGATTGCTTATTATATTTCTCAATTTTCTTTCCTAATTTCTCAGTCACTGAATTAATTTTAGTACTGCTTCTTTGCAGAGATGATATAAATTAAAGGTAAGTGTAAGGTGCCCTATCCTGTTGGTCTAGACTGCCAAGAAGACCTTCCTCCATCTGGTTTTTAAACAGAAAGTGAACAGTTTACTGTGGAGATAGTTCATAAGTGAAAAACAAATGATGTTTCATTCCTCAGATTCTCAGTTCAAGCAAGCATGCGCTCAAGTAGCATTCACAACCCCCAGGCTACCAGGATGGTGTGAGAGAGCTGGAGAAGGGCAGGAAAATATGGGGGCACAATTTGAGAAGAAAGTAAGAACAACTTTTATTATCCATCCCCTCTTCAAAGTAGCCTTGAAGGAAGAGAGAGGGAGAGAGAGGTGAAGGGGGAGGAGGTAGTATCCAAGAGAATTTCTTCTTAAGATGTGGGCTGATTTGGAATAAAGAAAATTCCAAATTTTCTTTATTTATTAGATTGATTTATAACATAAATTCTTAAAATGCAGATTTTCTACAGTAAATTTCAATGAATCCCAATTCTATTAGCTTTAGTTTCTCTGAGAAACAGAAATTACGGTGGCGGTAGGGGAAAGCTTCTTTCTCTACATTTTTTGGATTAGAAAGAGAAAAGAGTGCTTTCATAAATGTTATGGGGTCTCTATTTCCAGACTTGAGAGAAACAAGCAGGGTATGGGGAAGTAAAACATGATGCTGGTTTGTCTTGGCAATGGGGCTCTGCTGATCAGTGTACAAATGGTAGGCAAATATAGACGACAGAAGGAAAGCTATCAGACCCACCACCCTGTGTTTCTCTACCTCCTTTTCAAATGTCACACTGTTTTCATTCCGAGAACTTCAAAAATCTGCATTTGATTTTTTTTACAACTACACCTTATTTCACAGTATGACTATATCACCATTTATTTTACCCATTTTTCTGTTTTTAACATTTGGGTTACTACTCTTTTCTTTCTTCACTATAATACATAATATCACAATGAATATCCTCCACATGAAGTTTCGTGCACAGCCACAGGTATTTCTCTGTAGTAGATACCAGAAAGGATACTTTCTCATTTTACTTCCCAGCAAGTGTTTGAGACTGCCATTTCTCCATTCTCAAACTTTTAAATGCTCTATAAATGGAACACATTCGTATTGCATTATTGCTAAAATTTGCTTTTTTCTATTAATAGTAAGGTTGAATCTTCTTAAGTTTACTTACCAAGATTTATGTCTAGTAATAACTTTTTTGTTGTATTCAGCCAATATAATGTGAACAGTAATGGTGAGTGTATGCAAACATATTATTCAGGCTATTAACACAGATTTTAGCTTTCCAACTATTAGAGTAGTAAGTTTCAATAGCAAATGTCTTAATGTTGAAATATCTTTGCTCAGATATTTCATTAGGCTATGATTAATGGGCCTTTTTTCATTCACTTTCCTTACCATTCAATTGACCCTTTCCATCTGAAGCTTTGTGCTTTATATTGAGAAATTTTTTTTCTATAAATTCTATTATTTTTTTCACTTCTCTCTGACTCCCTTAGTTATTACTCTTCCATATGCTTAAAGTCAGTTCTCACAATTTTTAAATCTGTCTCCCTTTATGTTCTAAGAAATTTCCCCAACTTTATTTACTAGATTAGTAATCTATTTTTACCTATATCCTTTTGTGATCAAAATTTTAATTTCCAAGAATTCTTCAGTTTGTGATTGCTGCTTTCACGGGCCAGTAGTCTTTAGAATTTCCTTCAGGATATTAATTAGGACCGATTTAATGTTTTCTTCAGTTCTTTGAATTATCTCTGTTGCCAACCATTCTGTTAGCTCACTCAGTTTTCTGTTCAATACCATTAGTTTTTATCCAGTGCCTGGTGATCCTTTGTTGCCAGCCGTTTTATGAGTAATACACTAGGTTGACTAATGTATAGACCTAGCATGGCTTTCCTCTGTTTCTCATTATGCGTCTCCACTGCCTGGAAGGGGAAAAGGAGGCCCCAGTCAGCCTGCCTGCTTCATACCCACAATCCTCCATGGTCCTCCTCTCCATTGGTAAAATAAGTCATATATTAGTTATTCAAGGACATTAGTGTATTTGTCTCTCACCCTACCTTTGTTGGAGATTTAGCATAGATTTAGAGCTCCTTCAGGCCTTTGGGCAAGCACCCTCCCTCCCCACTCATCCCAAAGTTTGAGGGATCCAGGCCCATTGGATTTCTAAGGGAGAGGAAACTCAGAAGCTTAGTTCTGAACTTGAGTTGTAATAATACTTGCGGTAATACAATGAAAAGACTTTCTGGACCAGAATTACTAGGTATCCTAAAGATACTAAATTTTAATACAGAAATGTCCAGCTATAACAGCATGATAGCTAGAGCACTACCTAGAGCACTCCTTGGGCAACATCTTCACTTTCCTGAAGTTGGAGTTACTTTTAGCTTGGTAGCAAGCACTCCACCACCTTTTGTTCAGTGTGAGAGAATGAGGAGGGGGAGGGCTAGCCTAAATATTATTAACGGGGCTTAAAAAAATTTTTTTCCTGATTATTGTCTCACTCTCTCTTTCTCCTCTTCCTATGAGTTTACTGGGTGACAACAGCAAATCCAGAGAAGCATACGTTCAGAGAGGTTTTCTTTTCAGCTTGTGTTAGACTGTGGCGCCCTCTGCTCTTGCCAAACTTATTCCTTCTACTTTCCGTAGTCCAGACATTTCCCAGTTTCTGGCAGAAACACTACCCTGTCCTGTTTCCCAGCACTGTAACGTGTTTATACCATCTCTGTTATTTTAATGGGTTTTGAGCCAAAAGAGAGGAGGGTCACATGTGCATAGTCCACCATCCTGATCCAGCCCATAGGACTCTACCTACCTCTCATCAGCTCCTTCTTGGCCCAAGATGTGGACTTTAAAGAATCCCCTAACCCCATCAGTCAGTGTGTATACTCTTCTACAATTTCTTTCTTTCACATGTGGCATTAGCACAGTAAGATATTCCCTTACCATTTCTCCCCAAACTTTCTCATCTGTATTATCGCAAACAAGGATCCTGTGGTGAGGCTCGTAAGTTCAACCGCAGAGCCCAACCAACAATGAGATGTGCACATTCGGGAGGGTGCCTTGTTGGATGATACAGTTGCTCTCTCCATCCCAGTCATTGCAGAAAATAGGTTAATTAACAAGCCAACTTCAGCCTTACTAAATTTATTATGAATTATATGTTCAGGGATGTTGGTAAAAGGCCAACACTGGCATCTCTTTAACTAGTAATTATTGTGTTTTATTGTTGTGGACCTATAATGCATTAACAAGGCAGGACTCAGCTTTATTAGAATGCACGTGGCTCCTCAATTCCATGCATATTTATTAGGCGAGAGAATGGGATTCTTCTTCTCTAGCCTTCACTAATTTAAAAGAAGATATCCTCAATGAAATGTATTCAAATATTTTGACATTTTGCTTCACCTCTCTTACAGAGCAGAAATTGTTTCTGACAGTTATTATACAGTGCTGGAATCCTGCTGCTTCCACTGTTGAAGAACAGGTTGAAAAGACACAGCGCTTGCATTTTGTTCAAAGAGTAATTCTGTGGCTTAGAAATAGCAGCACTGTCAGCTGTGATTCACTGAGAGTTTAGATAATATCCAGTCTGTAGTCACTGCTAACATGGGCTTCTGGGCTTGGAGTGGAAGGAAATGAAAGGAAGTTGGTGCCCTGAGGTTACCCAGGAGGATAAGTACAAAATATGTTGCCCGTATTTGGCCACTGAAAATTTTGGTAGAAATCTCTCTCCTCTTTCTCCACATCTTGAGTCTCCCATTATAACAGCCTTAAATTTCAAATGCACTTATTTACACAAGACACACAACAGTAAATGCTAAATTGAAACACTGGGGCATTCCAGAAGTTTGAACTGTCTAAAGAGATTAGAGACAACATTTGATGGGCATTTCTCTGATCCTACAGCACTGAAAGGCAAAAATCACTCTAGGATCATCCGGAAGGTAGGGTGATACACCAAAGAACAACTAACAAACCTAACAAGCAAACTGAAGTGATTTCTTCTGGGTACCTCTGGCTTATTCAGTAGACTTCTGCTCTGAATGCAAAAGTATTCTTCCAAAGTGATAGAATAAAATACTTACTCACAAAGGGTCTGCCAGTAGCTCGCAGAGTTGGGCACCATCAGATGTTCCCAGAGCTACTGAGACTAGCAGAAAGAAGGAGAGAGCCATTCATCAGCCCAGCCAACATTATTTATTCAGTTTATCTACCATTCCACAATCAACTCAAAGTTGTATCTAGAAGCAGAGCAATCACTTAGGGTTAAAACTGACCAGCTGTGCTTTCAGAGAGGCCAAGAGGGCTCAGCCAATCACAGTATAGGTATAGAGATGTAGTTGACTCTATTGGGCATAAGTTAAAGCAAATAGACAGCCTACACGGGTAGTGAACCTGTACTTGCAGGTTAACAAATATCTCACAGATTGAGGACACACTGATATTAAAAAGGGAAACACACAGTGTAGTGGCTCTCCCTGCAGCAGACTGAAGCATCTAGAAATCTGGCTGGTGCAGATATGCCATCTGGGGGACTGAGGATATTTTGGATTTGGCATCTAGATTGGTTGAGGCTGAGGCAGCTCAGCTAAGGAGTCAGCAAAGAACCCTGAGAAGGGCTTTAGTGGCAGAAAAAGATCCTGCAGCAGGTCAGAGAATTTGTTTGCTGGTGATGTCTCCAGGGACCTGTGAGTAAATCTGGAGGGCACTGAGGGGTGACAAGGCCCATTATTCACTGGAATGAGACATGGCCAATTCAGCCCTCATCAGGGGTCTCTGCCAGGTGATGAGAGGTCGTAACCTGGTAGCAGCCTGGGAATAAATGAGAAAAAGCTTTCACCGCTTTGGAAAGATGAAAAGAAATACATCCCGCCTTTTTTTTTTAAAGTAAAGTCAGCCCTAAGGAAGTACAGAAATATGTCTACATTAGACCAAGAAAATTGTTCTTGGCAACTCTTAGTCATAAAATCCAGGTAAGCAGGAAGAGAGGAAATAAGATCCCAAGGCATTAATCATACTGAATTGAAGTAATCTGTTCCTTATTCATTTTTATATCTCTATATCGTTAGTACCTTATAATATGCTTAGCACACAGTAAGGCCTAAATAACATTTAATGCTAAATAATATCAACATTTGTGGGGGTAAATTTTATGTTGGTGAATGAATGTAGACTCATTTCCAATGCAGTCACAATGGGGAACCAGGTGGGAAGCCACATATTACAGTATTTTTGAGGCCAGCATTAAATGTGGGTGTCCAGGTAACATCCTAGGAGGCATGATTTGTTGGCTCTAAAAATGTTTCATTGTTACAAAATATCTCCAAAATTCTGAATTTCTAAGTCTGACAATGCACACATTTTCTATTAATAATGATGATGTAGCTAAGGGCTCTACATGGAGGTATCTCATTTTTAGGTCCTATTGCTATTCCCATTTTACAGTTGAGAAGCCTGAGGCTAAATGACTTACACAAGTTTACAGGTCTAATAAGGATCTGAACTGTCTCCAGAGCTTGGGTGTCAACCACCATCCTATCCCATGTCCTACATTATTACTAAAAGCCTGCGATGACACAAATATCACTTAAGAAAGAATAAAAATGAATTGTTATTGATTAGCATATTGGTATAAATTGATTCTTCAGATAAAATAGACACATACACACAGAGCTGGAACTTAAAAATAGAGAACTGAAAATTATGATGAGAAGGATATTTCTAAAAATTTTGATCGTAGGGCTCTGACTCATTTATTTACCACTTACTGTGTGCCAGGCATTCTTAAGATACTAACTAGAGATAAAGGGTTCTGTGCATCTGTATCTATTAGGCCAATTTCATTTTCTGCCAAGGAAAACCCTCTTTGCCACATGTGCATACTACAAAAGATACATTACTTATTTAATTATTTTAATGAAATCTTAATTATCCAAAGAACTGAGTGACCTTTTTTTCTTTTTTGTACTACTGCATCACCAAGAGTGGGAGATCAAATTGAATGGGAGGATTCTCCAAGGGAACATCCAAAGAATAGCTTAATAAAATGTTCTATGGTCTTATTAACTGGGGAGTGAGGCCATATTACAGTTATAAACTTTATTGCAGAGGAATCTCTATCGCAAAAGCACCATTCAAACAGCTGCCTATTAAGGAATAATGGAAGGCTTTGGATATTACCTTTAGTAAACATTTGATAGAAAATTGAAGCAGTTACCTACATAATACTTGTTATGTGTACTTGAGACCAACTCTTTTTTCCTCTGAACTATCCAGAGACTTTTCTGAGAGTAAACATAGCCTGTGGCTCACACTTTGATACCAACACAGTTTGCTTAGTTTTCTTTTCCCAACATAGAGAAGCTTTAACCAATGTGAATAGTTAAAATGAAAGGTAACATTTGCACAATGAGATTCTTGAGTTTCCTAGGAAAATTGAGTTTTCCTTAGTAGGAATTTCCTGGGATTTGTAGTAAACAGTTTGAGAAACTATTGGAATAAATCTTTCCTCAAATTGACATGCAAAGATTAGAAAATAAGAGGCCATCAGATGTGATTTGATTATTCAAGTTTTTACCATAAATTAAAGGCATCAGGATATGTAGTCTAATCTAATATATAACTAATATGTAAAGTATAATATTAGATATAATATTATGTGACATAATGTAAATGCTTTACAGATGTGAGTATATGTATGTGCTGACCCTTGAACAACACAGGTTTGAACTGATGGGTCTACTTATCCATGGATTTTTTTCAATAAAAGTTACATGGGGTGTGCCTGCATCTCCTGCATCTCCTGCCTCTCTTCCTCCTCCTCCACCTCCTCTCCCTCTGCCACCTCTGAGACAGAAAGACCATCCCCTCCTCTTCCTTCTCTTCTAAAACCTACTCAATGTGAAGACAAGGATAAAGACTTTCATGATGATCCACTTCCACTTGATGAATAATGTTTTCTTTTTCTTATGATTGTCTTAAATATTTTTTCTAACTTACTTTATTGTAAGAATAACACCTATACAAAATATGTGTTTATGTTATCAGTAAGGCTTCCAGTCAACAGTAGACTATTCGTAGTTAAGTCTTGTGGGACTCAAAAGTTATATGTGTTTTTTTGACTGCGTAGGAGATCAGTACCTGCCTTGTTCAAGGGTCATCTGTATATTTAATGCTTTATGTGCCAGATATTTATAACAATGAACTAACACTTACTGAACACTTACTAAGTGCCAGGCACTGCATTTTAAAATTCTTGATCCCAGAACCTTGATCGGAGAAGCCTTTATTGGGTACTATTGTCATTCTTGTTTTATAGGTAAGGAAACCAAGGTAGAGGTTAAGCAACCTGCCCAAGGTCACCCAACAAGTAGCAGAGTCCTTAGGGACCTGAAGCCAGGCAGTCTGACTCCAAGCTTATACCCTTGTTCAATTTGTATATATGGTCCCACCTAATTACTTAATGCTAGAGCACTGGTGACAATGCTCCATTTCTGACTTTGTATTTCTCTTTGCAGATAAGGGCTTGGCATAAACATTTGTGCCTTTTGCCCATTTATCCAAATGAAGACTATTTTATGACAGAAAATAGCTTTCATTCAAGGTTAATAAATGTGTAAAATGTGCCAATATCCTTGTGCCTGGCAAAACGCTTTAACACTGAGGGTCCTTCTCTGTCATATTCATTAACCTTCTTTCACTCTTGAAACTAATTCTGAAATGCTAGCACTAATTGCTTAATCACTATATAAGGTAAGTTATACCTTGTTAGTCTGATAATGGTTTGTTAAAACACCAGGTAATTTGAAGCAATTCCTATTTTCTATCCAACTAAAAGGACTATTGTTCTTTGCTAAAAGTATTAGATAGTCTAAATCTAGTTCATCAGAAGCTTTCCAAAGCCCTTTGGAAAATAATTACATAGCGTGCTTTATAATTTTACCTTTACTTACACACTTGGATAAACATTTGAACCATTAAATGTTCACAAATCTCAAATCTTCCAGATTTAAATACACTCTATTCAAAGTAGGATGTCATTATTAACATTATTAATATTTACTCAAAGTGCATTTCAAATATTATATGCCTCAAATCATGACCTTTTATTTCAATAATCCATCAAAATAATTTTAAAAATATATTTTTGAAACATTCATTTATTTAATTTGACCATTCAGCATTAGGAAACAGTTTCTGAGTGTTGAATTCAGCACAAGATAGGTAAGATTCCACCTCTGATATTAGTACAGCTATACCAGAATTTTTTTTTTTTTTTGAGACACAGTCTCACTCTGTCACTTATGCTAGATCATGCAGTGGCATGATGTTGGCTCACTGCAGCTTCAACCTCCTGGGCTCATGCATTCCTCCTCCCTCAGCCTCCCAAGTAGCTGGAACTACAGGCATGTGCCACTATGCTCAGCTAATTTGTTGGGGTTTGTTTGTTTTTTTTGGTACAGACAGTGTCCCACTATGTTGCCCAGGCTGGTCTCAAATTCCTGGGCTCAAGCGATCCTCCCATCTGGGCCTCCCGAAGTGCTGGAATTACAGGTATGAGCCACAGGGCCTGGCCCCAGCCTTCTTCAGGTTTCACTTTGCATGATATATCCTTTTCCATTCCTTTTCTTCACGCCCTGCTGAGCTTATAGATCTTCATGTATCTCGGTTCAGCAGTACATTATCATTTTGTCCAAGGTGCTTTGAGGATTATTACATTTGGTTAATGTTGAGACCCAGAGATCCAAAGTAATTATCATGGCCTCCCTATTAATCCAGGGGACATAAGGACCAGAAAATAAAGGGAGTCCTGGTTAAATTCAGTTCCCAATGGGCCCACTGGGTTTGCAGACCACTGAATCATCATTGCCCAGTATCCAAGCATATACTTGGAATTAATATACTTGGTGTTGAGGTAGCCCCAAATATTGAGTTCATGGTTTGTGTGGCGGGAGGTATTATAGTGAGGATGGCCATATGGAAATACCTGAGACCACACTCGGAGCAGTCAAGACAATAAGTCAAAAACAATATCTCTTCTTAGGTGGGATGGCAGCCTAGTATCACCATGAAAGAATTAAAGCATGCAGGGCTGATGGTCCCTATTGTATGTCCATTTAACTTACCTGTCTGGGCAAAGCAGAAGCTAAATGCATCCTGGAGAATGACTGCAGAATACTGCTAGCTCACTACTGAAAGCAGTGAGATTTCATAGGCTGATGTAACAGTAACACAAAGAAAATATATTTGATTGATTAGTATGGAAAGAACTTCATCAGACATTAGTTGGTGGTTTCTGATTGGTAAAGTCTCTAGTTTCGTTTTATGGTTTACGTCAAGCTTCCGTTCGATTATGCAGGAACTTAAAATGCTAGATCAACCTCAGCCTAATGGCCTCCTAATTAATTTTTTTAACACAAGAAGGTAAATTCTGGAAAGATTCAGGGAACTACTACTTCAGTGAGGTTTTTAGGAATCTAGTTTTCAGGGGTTCAGAAGTAAGCCAGAAAATCATCTACAAAATAAAAGACAAATTACTGAATCTTGTGTTTCCTACCACAAACAAGGAAACACAGCACCTGGTGGGCCTTTCTGGGCTCTGGAGGCAATATTCCACACTTAGGGAGACAGCTTCTGTTCTGTCTTGATAGAGACAGATGCTTAACAATGAGGTACCAACTGAGCATGTGTCTAAACTGCTAATTATCAGTTAGGTTTTATCATGCCCACCAAGTTATAAATTTGGATGGGCCCAGCAGCAATCTGTCATAAGATTAAAATGGAATATCCAAGATCAAGCCCCAGATTAGAGCACAGGAGTAAGCTGCAAGAGCAAGTAGTTCAGACCCTTATGTCACCCATCTCTATTGCCCAGCACCCATCCCTCAGCTTACATGTAGAGCCACGTGGGAGTTCCTATGTCATCAAGTGGAAAAGAAGGTACAAACTTGGTTTATGCATGGGTTGACTCCATATGTGAAAATGTATACAGCTTCATTACTGCCACATTCAGAGAGTATAGTCATGTGTCACTTAACAATGAGGATACATTCTGAAAAATGTGTTGTTAGGCAATTTCATCATGGTATGAACATCATAAAGTGTACTTACACAAACCTAGATGGTATAGCTTACTACAAACCTAGGTAAAATGGTATAGCCTATTGCTGCTACGCTGCAAACCTGTACAGCATGTTACTAGACTGAATATTGTAGCAATTATAACACAATGGTAAGTATTTGTGCATCAAAACATAGAAAATGTGCAGTAAAAATACAGTATGAAAGATTAAAATGGTATACCTGTACAGGGCACTTACTATGAAAGGAGCTTGCAGTACTCAGAGTTGCTCTGGGTGAGTCAGTGAGTGAATGCTAAGTGAATGTGAAGGCCAATAACATTACTGCACACTACTGTAGACTTTATAAACACTATACATATACCTGGGGGATATGAAGCCCCCAGGACTTGCCAAGGTGATAGCTGAGGGCAAGGGTAAGTTTTAGAATGGGTAGGGTGGAAGGGTTAGGATGAGTACCAGTTGCACCCCAAGACCAAATACAGCAACGAAGTCTGCAGTTTATCCTACTAAACCCATTTCTAATTTTTTCCCCAGGAAAAGAGGCTTTTGGGACCATGGAGGAGTGGCTCCCTAAACCCATATGGAAAGTAGATCTGTGTGACACAAAGGGTGAATGAAGTGGCCATGAAAACACACCAGTCAGATCTCCTGTTGTGGGAGTCATAACTGACAATGGCCCCAGCTGCTGCACCTCCAGATCTACCATTGTGTTCACACAGAGGCCACACGTCCTGTGAGCCAGTGACTGCACACGGTGGGTTACTAAAGCAGGCCAGTTCCAGAAAAATGCAAGAATTCTTCAGTGGGCAACTTTGACTTAAAAACTCCCCATCAGCCTGGCCAAAACTTTCTTGGAACACTGCTGAATTCTGAAACTATGTCAATCCTCCTCTCTCCTTCCCTGAGAATCAGACCTGCACTGTGACTTGAATCTTCTTTCTACCTTCTCCTGCTGCTCTCTCCACCCTCCTGTAAAGGTGTTTTTCCCCGAAAACCTCCTGCATGTCTATTACTGTCTTGGTGTCAGATTCTAGGAGGATCTGAACTAACACACCTATCGAGTTATTCACTTTTTTCATTTTTTAGTTGTCAGCATGATTTTTAAAAAATATATTTCCATTCTCTTGTGAAATTCTTCATCTGTTCT
The DNA here is from genome assembly GCF_000001405.40 of Homo sapiens. Classification (NCBI taxonomy): domain Eukaryota; kingdom Metazoa; phylum Chordata; class Mammalia; order Primates; family Hominidae; genus Homo; species Homo sapiens. The sequence continues at coordinate 99,072,774 of NC_000006.12, forward strand.
TTCTTGAACATATTAATTATAGCTATTTTAAGTTTCTGATTATTTTAATATCTGGATCACTGATAGGTCTCTATGTTTTTTTCTGTTTTTGGACATTTGGTCTAGTTTCTTGGCACGCCTAGAACTTTTTGTTGAATCCTGGACAATATGTGTTTAAAGCCAAGAGGTTCTAGATAGTGTCTTTTTTCATAAAGGACTTAATTTTTTCCTGAGAGGTAAATAGAGTATGGACAGACCACCTCGATCCAGTCTAAGTGGAGTTTCAAGCCTTGTTAGAGCTGTATTTCTGGTTTAGTCTTGCTTTTAGGGTGTATTTACTCTTGGGGTCTAGCCCTGATTGCAGTCTCAACTGAGAGCCTGGATTGTTTACCAGTCTCCCTCAATCTGGTGGGTTCTGAACCCTAAGATTTGTTTCCCTAGACCCAGGAGATTACCCACATCTCTGCTCAGCTCTTTAGCTTCCCAGATGCTGCTTTTTGACTAGGTCTCGGAATCTCTCCTTACATCTTCATAACGTAGAATTCAGCAAATACCTCAAGGAGAAAAACGCATGAGGAATTTCCAGATCATTTCTCTGTGGTTGCCTCTTCTCTGGCTTCTCAAATCTTAGCTACCTTGGCAACTGTAAACCACAACTTTGATGTTTTAAGCCCAGTGAAACTGCAGAAAGCTTCGGGGTCACCACATTCTGTATAGCCTCTTTTCTCCATTTCTTGGACCAGCAAATGCTTAAAGGTAAAAAGTGGATGCAAGACTGAGGCTCATTGAGTATGCCTTCCTTCTCTCTTGGATCTTGATCCTGCAAATCCTGGCTTCCTTGGTGGCTCTCTGAAGCATTCAATACTCTGCATTTTTTTTCTTTTTCTATCCAGTTGTTCAGGCCTCAGATGTATTACATTTCCTTCCAGCCTCAAGCCTTTGCACATGCCCTTCTCTCCTTTCACAACATATTCCCACCTTGCACCCCTACTCAGTAACCACTCTTCTTTCAGATTACCTCAACCATCATTTCTACAGAGAAGCCATTTCTTACATCCCTGGATAGATTAAAATCCTGTCTTACAGATTTTTCAGGGCACCACTCTTACCTCTACTTTATAGCCCTTATCAGTACAATTTTATATTTACTAGTGTAATTATTGAATTAAACTCTCTCTCTCTGATTACCCTATAAGCATAGCATGGACATTTATCATATCTGATCAACATTATACTTCCAGTGACTAACAAGTGCCTAATACCTAAGGAGTGCTCAATAAATATCTACTGAATGAATATGAGGCAATCATCACCTTTTGAAGTAGCTCATCCACTGTATTGAAATCTGAATATATGAATTTAGACTCTGTCAATCAGTAAATGAAGCTAATAGACAACAGCTGAATAGTGTCCTTCTCACTAATAATTACACTATATGTGTCTGTGTATATATGAATGTACAGCCATGTGTAATTGGAATTGAGTTCTTATATAAGACAAAAATGTAAACTAGTCAGCAGTGGGAAAGAGACTTCTTGGACAAGTACTTGAATATTCATTGAAACCAGAAAACTACAAAGATCTCTAGGGATATAATTTCAAACTCTGATAAGAGCAGTTACGCAGTAATTCATTGAGCAACTCTATCAAAATGAGATGCTGACAAAAAGAAGAAAGATCAAAGAACGCTTTCAAGGACAGAGCAGGAATTGGGCATTGCAAAAGGGAGGTGTGATGTGTTTGGCAGAAAGGTTTAGGGGAAGAGAGAAAGAGCAAAAGGAATGAACGGCCAGAGAGAGCAGAAAGTTCAAAGTGTCATGTTACCTGTCTTCCACATAGATCAAAAAATACTCCAACCTTCCTGACTTTTTAAAACGTAATAGATGTGAAATGTTAGAAGTTATTTCCAAATAGCCTAATCATTCTGTTGAAATATCCCAGGAGGCTCAGAGGATACCGGGAACTAATTAAAGTTTACTATGGTTAGCTGAAGCCAAAATGATCATTTGATCAATTTAAACTCCCCCTCCACAAAAAAAGCAATGAAATCATCAAAATTAGCAGCATCAGTGAATTTAGTCACATGTAGACAGAGCAGCTGCACAGAGAGATCCCCAAATCCAAGGTCTGTTAGTCTTGCTTGAAGCCAGAACCCATCGTATAATCTGCACATTTCACTTATTGGTGCCATTCCCAATAAAGACCCAGCAGAAAGATTTCTATTCCAGTTTCTTTGGGTAAGATATACCCAAACCAATTACATTAAATCTGTCAACAAATGTGTGTTGTGCACCTAGCATGTGCCAAGTACCATGCTAGGAGCTAGTTCATGGTAGTCTGAAGTAGATTTATTCCTGGCCTCATGAAGTTTACAGTCTACCGGGGAAAGGAGCATTAAGCAAATAAACACACAAGCAAATATAAAATTGCAGTTGTGACTAGTGCTACTAAAAAGAGGAATGAGGCACAATGGGATCCTGAAATCAGGGACTTTGGCTTGGATGAGGGAAGCTTCCATGGGAAAGTGGCATTGAGCTGAGAGCTGCAGGATAAGGAGGAGAGGGAAGCTCATTCCAGGAAGTGGGAACAGATGTGTGTGTGTAAATTCACGTATCTAGTTAAATTTTCAGATTTTTTTCTTAAAATTCTTCAAACTTCCCTTCTCTCCTGCATATGTATTTGACTTGATCTGGGTATAAGACAGACAGCCATGCCCATGATTTGGCAAGGGTGGCACTTCTGTCACCATCCACCAGTTGGTGGCATCAATGAGGCTCTTTGACTCTTCCATCCCTTCAGTGGTCCTAAGAGGGGAAAAAAGCAGCAGAAGAGTGGCAGACAGCTCAGAGTATATCAGGGGCTGTTGAAAGAGGTCATCCTATTGCAGCTCCCCTTCCCTAAAGAGACCAACTTCCAGACCACATGTTGGTGTCCACATGGGTGTTGGGACACTTGCCAGCCTTTTACCCTGCCTGTAAATGGCAGAAAAAGTGATGAAGAGATTAACTGAAACACTAAAAGCCCTCCATGTCACTCCTTATAAACTCTTTCTAAATGAGTAGGAGGCTTGTGATGACTACTTATTCCTATGTCTCAGATCTTTCAGGAAAAGTATTCAAGACAGGGGAGACAAAGCCAGAGTATAGGGGCTTACCACCTAAGAAGATGAAACACAGAGATCAATCATCTTAGAAATATGACTGCAACTGGAACAGAAATAAGAAGTTAAATCATTGTAAATTACTTTTTATAGTCCAAAGCACAGCATTTTCTTCTTCTTGGTGTCATTTAGATGTCATTGTCTAGTCCACAAGGCAAGAGTGAACCAGGCAACCAGCTTTGGGTAGGTTCTTGTTGACTGTGTCTATGACTTTACAGCACCAAATTTGCAGTTAAAATACCAATAATAAAAGTATCTAATAGCCAATTGCTATATAATTTCCACTGGTATGATGAGCATGGTTGCTTAACTCTGTGTTGGTGCTAACACATTTTACAAGACCCGTGAAGAAGCTACACTTCACACACAATTATTTATGCTTCCATGTGAAGGTGCCAGCATCTTTTGATGATGATTAACAAGTGATACAAATACTATGGAGGTTGCTAGATGTGGAGAAAGAGTACATCAGCATCAAAGTGTGTGGAGTCCGGAAATAGGAGAAAATAGTTTATATGCAGAACATTGGATCAATACAATGAGCCAGGACAGCTCAAGAAAAGCAAAGTGGAAGGTAAGAGCTTGGGGTGGTGGAAAGGTTAGCTTGGGTAGCAAGAGTCAAGTATAGGTTACACTGAGTATTATAGACAAGCTTAAGTAGGCAAAATTCAGAAGCAAAGCAGAATACACAGAAAACATTAAGAAGACTATAGAGACTATATTGAGCCAAGGAAAGAGTAAACAGTGGGGAAGACAAAGTTTCTCTAGAAACTAGAAACAAAGGGATCCCAGCTTGCGGTGAGCTGTTGGCTATAGAGTCAGGGTACTTCCACTGTTGCACCAGGCGGCACTGACAAGCTTCTTATTCTCCAGGTGCCAGGAATAAGGCTGGCCCTCTAGTGAGCAATGCAGTGGCCTGAGCCTAAAGTCTATACTCAAAATAGCAAGAACATGCCCAGAGAAATATGATGGTGTCTCCAGGACTGGGAGGCCAATAAGACAGAAAGGACCTCAAGATTTACTATTTAAGACAAACATAAATAAGGATGAACTGGGTAGCAGGCTAAGTCATATCAACTTGAATATAATAGGAGGCCCACATTAGGTCTGAATCACAGGAGGCAATCACCAGATTACAACCTAGTCATGTTGCTTGAGGGTCCTCCTTTCAAAGGCGGGGGCTATCATATCAAGTACTTTTGACAGCCCAGCTTATAATGAAGAGACCCTATTCTGGGCTTATATCAGCTCAAGAGGAAAAATGATAGAGACTTCCTCTTGGTCCTACGAATAAGACCGGGCAGGCTTGTGTTTCCTTTGAAAGGGAACACAGATGATAAATGGAAGTAAGTTCCTCCCAAACTATTCTAGCCACACCACCTGACCACGCCCAGAGTTAATGGTCCTGGGGGCATGAGGAAGAGCAGGGTTGGTCTCATTGGTGTTTCTGAAACCATCAAGTTGTCACATTAGCCCCACTCACTAACTTGGCCTGGGAGCTTAATCCATTCATTACCCCACTTCTTCACATTAGAAATGGTGCAGACCATCCTAGAATGGACAATGTATCCATCATCTTTCATCAGAAATTTCTTCTGATTCTTCATTGTTTTCCTTGCTTTTAGATACAGCCAAACATAGACATGCAGGTGGTCTTTAGCTGAGATAATTCTCATTCTTCATTATCTGTGAATGGTAAAGGGGTAAATCCACATAAGAAATAGCCTTTGTGCAAAGGACTATAAAGGGGTATATGGTAGGACCAACTGTATGCAGCAGAGTAAGGAGGAGCAGATTTGGGGACAGAGGACATTGGTACCTATAGTTTGGTCTCAAAAGCTGACAGCACTTCTTTCAGTCGCGCAGTGTTGATATTGCAATAAAGGGACCCAGTAATTCCGGATGAGAGACATGAGGACCTGGGAGGCAGAGATCTAGCTGCTTCTCCTCCCAATCTTGTTTTCATTGTGACAACCACACTAATGTCTCTTGCATTAAACTACAGCTGAGAACGGGAGACTGACAGAATTTTCACTTTTCACCTGGATGATTCAACATCATATAGAAACAGCTACTGTGGACCTCCTAAGGGGGAAAAAGGTGGGAAGCAACCTAATCTCTAAACACTGGGGGTTTTTTAAAAAGTATAGAAGCCACTAGGTGTTTGGTACTTATTTTCAAGGCTATAAATCCCACAGCAGGCGCGCCTAAGCAATCAGGATAGGCAAGAACTCTGATAAATTCAACGGTGATACTTAGGGCCACAGAAACCCTGGGAGGCTATAAATAGTTATTAGGAGTGAGATGCTGCTGAATGCCAAGGGAGAAATCCACCAATGGAGCAGAAATGTAAATCAGGAACTACTATGAGAAAATTGTGTTTTCATATTAAGTAAAAAGGAAGAAAAGAGAGAAAAAGTAAGAACTAGGTTTCCTTTCAATGCTTTCTCAGAATTTGAATCATTTCAGAAAATTTCAAAGGAAAGAAGGGAGGTGGGGAGAAAGAGAAAGGGATAGATGGAAAGAGAGAGAGAGAGGAAGAAAAAAGGAAGGAAGGGAGGAAGGGAAGGAGGAAGGGAGAAAGAATGGGAGGGAGGAAAAGATGGAAGGAAAGAAGGAGGGGGAACAAAAGAAAGGAAGGGAGGGAAGGAGGAAGGGAGAGAGAATGGGAGGGAGAAACGGAGGGAGGGAAAGATGGTGGGAGGGAGAGACGGAGGGAGGGAAAGATGGTGGGAGGGAGAGACAGAGGGAGGGAAGGAGGGAAGGGGGGGGAAGAAATCAGGCAGGCTCACTCCCCCCACCTCCCAGTTTATCCAAATGCCCATTGAATCTGGCATGTTCAGTTCAGAGGTTATAACTGCATCCACAGTCAATGAGCTTACAGAGATTGTCACAGCAATTCTATATCCTTTTAGTTGCCAAGGTTGGGCTTCTTTTTTTGCAAGAGAACAAAAACTTACTGATAAACAGTGTTTATCTCTCATTTATTCTCTGTGGATGTTGGGTGGATTAATGCATGTTTGATAAGTCATTCTTGAAGTGTGGGAAGGTCCCTGCAGCAAAGGCAACATGCATATGTAAGGCAGTAATAATCATTTCCAAAATTCATTTCTTTCCTGTTTCCACCCCCAACAAAACATACATTTTAATCACTAAGGTGCTTTCGTTTATTGGATTGCATCTCACAAATTTCAGGAAACAATAGAAATGTAATTCATTATATTATATTTAACAATGTAGTTTTCAGGTTGTTTCTGACTGTAGTCATACTTTTGATCATCTTTTTCATGAATGATGTTTCTATATTTCTATTATTGGAATAGGTCACCTTGAAATGTAAGTTTGCACTACATATTAAAAACTCTACGGAAGCCACATCTTTTGAGTCTCTCTCTCCCTCTCCCCCTCTTTCCCTCTCTCCCTCTCTCCCTCTCCCCCTCTCTCCCTCTCTCCCTCTCCCCCCTCCCCCTCTCTCCCTCTCCCCCTCTCTCCCTCTCTCCCTCTCCCCATCCCTCTCCCTCTCCCTCTCTTTCTTGAGCAAATTTCCTATACAAATTTATAGAGCAATTATTGTTGCAAATATCTAGCAATACAGAATCACAGTGGTGGAAGAGTTGGTAATGATATTGTTATAGCACTTAATATGTTCTTGGCTGACCCACACAGACCCTATTTCAGAAAATGTTTCCATAGACATAGAATACAATTGATTTATTTCCTTGGTCAGGGAAGGATGGTCACTTATTTAGCAATTGAAAAATGAGGTTCAGCTTCAAATAATGTTTTATTAAGCCCTACTTGTGTGATCAGACTAAAATAAAAAAGACTGGGAGTTCTGAAAATAAATAGAGGAAATAGAGAATATTGGAGAAAACCGTCAACTCTGAAGGTGAATCACCTGGGTTCAAATCCTGGCTGAACTGCTTATTAGCTGTATAATTTTGGCCATTAAACTCTATGCCTCAGTTGCTTCTTCCATAAAATGGCAGTATTGAAAGTATCTGCATCCAAGATGATTGTAAGGGTTGCTACAAATGTCTATATAAAGCTCTCAGCACATGGTACACACTGCACGAATAGTTGTATGAATAATTATATATACTGAGGAGGTGTCATGCTGGGTCTCTTCTCTACCACTGCCTGCCCATATATTAATGTGGGTGACCAAAAGGGCCTCTTAGTCCTTCTGGGTGTCCCTCACATTTGTGCCTCCCTCTCCATCCTGTTGCCAGGTATTACTGCAGATTCCCTTCACCTCTCTCTTGATACCTGGACTACTGCAATAGTCTCATGACCCCAGTGTTGTTACGCTTAGAATCTGCCCCACCCAGCACACTAAGTCTGGTTCTGCATTTTCATAATCATGGCTTCATACATTTAGAAAATTATGTCTCCCCACCACACACAGGATGAAGCTGAAGTGCCTTAGTCTGGCATTCACAGTCCTTCACATCCTGGCCCCAGCCTATCCAGACAACATCATTTCCTACTATTTACCAGCATTGATACTTTGCCAAGTCAAACTAATCGATCCACAACAATGGCATGCTGCCATGTTCCTAAATCTGAAGCAAGTATGTGGATTCTTATAACCTTTTCTAAAGAAGCTTTTTATCATCAGAGTCAAGGAAAAGTTGGAAAAAGAACATATAGAGTCTGCCCTATACCAATACCCCTCCTTTTTTCATATGAATAGCCTGAAAAGGAAAGCAAAATTGCACATCACTACTAAGAACAGCTCTGAAAACACAAAGGACTGATTAGGTTCATCCACACTTGAGAGGTCGTCTAGACTATTCTGAATCATAATCTTAGCAAGTATGGGGACTCTGTGGTCAAGACCAGGATGGGGTCCCTGGGTAAAGGGCGGTGGGATAAGGACAAAGGAGGCTGCCAGCCTCTGGGTTGCAGTCTAATGGGAGAAGGATCAAGAGGAGCAGTAAAGGGAATTCACTGCTGTGGTTACTATCACTGTATAACAAATTACTCCAAAGTGAATGACTTCAAATGTAAGTTTGCACCAAAAAAGTTAGTGGAAAAGTCAGCCAAAACTTAGTGGCTTAAAATCACCATTTTATTTTGTTCATGATATTGTAGGTCAGAAAATTAGGAAAGGCTCAGCTAGGCAGGCTGGTCTCCCTAAGACTAGAAATATAAATACAGGAGTCATAGACATATATTTTGTGGTTGAAATCATAATGCAGTATGAGACTTTCCAGGGAGAATTAAAGAGAAAAGGAAAGGGTCAAGGGCAGAACCTTGGGAATACCAGCTATATTAGTCAGGGTTCTCCAGAGACACAGAACTGGTAGGATATAGACAGAAAGAGAGAGAGACGACAAGAGGTTTATTAGAGAAATTTGCTCATGTGATTATGGGGGCTGAGAAATCCCACAATAGGCCATCTGCAAGCTGCAGAACCTGAGAGGCTGGTAGTGTGGCTCAGTCCAAGTCCAAAGGCCTCAGAACCAAGGAACCCAATGGTGTAATTCTCAGCCCAGGCCAAAGGCCTGAGAACCTGGGGAACAACTGTGTAAGTCCCGGAGTTCAAAGGCCAGAGAATCTGAAGTTCTAATGTTCAAGAGCAGGAGAAGAAGGATGTCCCAGCTCCAAAAGAGAGAGAATTAGCCTTTCCTCTGCCTTTTTGTTCTATCTGGGTCCTTAGCTGATTGGATAGTGCCTATCCACACTGGGTAGGGGGTGTGTCCTCCTTACTTAGTCCAGTGATTCAAATGCCAGTCACTTTTGCAAACATCCTCACAGACACATACAGGAATAATGCTTTACCAGCTATCTGGGTATCCTTTAATCCAGTCAAGTTGCCACCTAAAACTAACCATCACACCACCTTTTAAGAAGTAGGCCAAGGAAGGTGTGTCTTATTCACCTCTGACTTGCACACATTCCTTATGTATAAGTGACTAAGAAGAATTTCCATGGCCATTGAGAAAATAGGTGACAAAAAGACTTGCTTTCCTTCTTAGCTCTCCCTTGGAGTCCCTCTTGGGGTTGCAGTCAGATATTGGCTGGTGCTGCAGTCATCTGAATGCTCAACTGGATTGAATATTGATACACATTTTTAAGGTGAATTGAATAAAAAGAGACATAAGCATCATGTATGAGCATTATCAGTTAGAATATATTAGGTTTTGCTGTAATAACAAGTAACTTTATACTCTCAATGGCTTCAAAACAAAGATTTACTTTTTGTTCGTATTACACATCTTTTGCAGACTGACTGGGGGCTCAATTCCACATCATCATCATTCTTACCTGCAATCCAGGTTGATGGATCAGTCACTATCTGAAATATCACTGGTTGCATGGCAGAGGGAAAAGACTGTAGCAAAGCATATGTCAACTCATAAAGTTTATATATGAAAGTGACACATGTCACTTCCACTCACATTTTGCAAATTAAAATTGTCCCATAATCATGCTTGAGCTCAGGGAAAGGGAGGAACAATTTTACTACATACCCAAAATGAGACAGACAACCAAATGCAGTAAACAGCATCAATGACAAACACAACTTGGTGATCTCAGTAACTTCTGAACTTTGTTTTTAGAAGCAGTGAAAGAAAACAGTAAGAGAAGAGAAATGGAAGAGAAGACTAGGAAGGCAAAGCTTGGAAAAGAGAAAGCCGAACAAGAAAAGTTAGAATACCAGAAGAAAAAGAAACAATTCATTGATATAAACAGAGGGGGTGATGAGACTGGTCTGATGGATAATCTTCTAGAAGCCCTACAATCAGTTGCAGAATTCTGAGACTGACGAAAGTGGATTCCAAGGAATCCAGTGGTAAATCAACCCTGTGCAACAAGGGCTAATCCAAGATCATCTACATAACCAGCCTGAGTGCTGTTTTAAACAGGATTGGGTGATTGTACAACATGACTTTTTAAGATAATCAAGCAGCAAAAGTTTCTAGTGGAAACATGATTTAAAAAAAAAAAAGAAAGAAAAGAAAAGAAGGAGGAAAGAGAAAGAGCACGGAGGTAAAAAAGCACGAGACAATAACAGTCTCACTTAACTGGAATACAAGGTGCTAGCTCATTGTAAAACACTGCATACTGGAGAAAAGATGAATTTGGTCTATACCTAATCTACAAGATTGACAAGCTTGAGAGCGCATAGCAATAAGCTCAGTTATAGAATGGATAATGAAGTTGCATGATAGGCCATGAAACTAGGTTCACCAAGTAAGTGAAGGAATAAGCCTTCAGGATGCAATTTAAGAAATAACTTTTATTTAAATCACAGAGACAGAAAGCATCCTGTTAGAATTAGAAGATAATAGTAGAAAAGAGCACCTGCCAAGAGGGAACATGTACATTCTCAGGTAAATTTTTAGTCCTGTCTCATGAATAAAAGAGTAGACTATATGGCTTTTGGTTTTAGACGCCATTGTGCTATTAAACATCCTTTGGGTTGTTGAGTAGGAGGAATTAAGAAAAATTAGAAATATCATGATCTTCATGATGATTTGTGATGATCGTCACATAATAGAAAACTGGTACTTTCATTACTAGTCCAGAAATCAATTTTGATTTAAAGCAATAACTGGTTAACTACCAAATACCAGTTAATATCTTTCTTACTATAAGCTCCTGGAAGGCAAGGCTTGGATCCTGTTTAAATTGATGTCTCCATGGACAGCATCAAGCAGATATTCAGTAAAATCAGTTGAGTTGAATTGTCTATAGTAAAGAACAGAAATTTACAGGGAATTGCTCCATTTAGGTTGTTCATCCTTTCCTTTCAAGGCAAATATTTTGCTTAAGTAAGATTTTTGCCCTCATTAAAGGTTTCATGCACAAAATACATGTGATCTGAATACTTACATGGTGAATTCTATTTTGTTTAAAATTTTCTTCTATGCTTAGGCTTCCTTCTCTTCTTGTGTCTTTGTGGTGCATATCAACTTCCCACTCTGCTGAAATGAGAGGAACAACTTAGCAAGAAACCCTAACTGCAGGCTGAATATCTCCATTCAAGAACACTCTTGGAACAGCCAACTTCCAGTTTCTTCTCTCAGCCCCAACACACTCCCTGAGTCCTGCCTTGCAACATATTGCTCCAAAACTAAGGGAAGAAAGGAGGAACATACACCGAAAGGTGTTGGCTATTGTTATAGTCCTACCAGGCTTCCAAGATTATAATGCTTTTGTGCCACACACCTGAGTTCCTTCTGAAGGTCCAAGATACTCACAGACCACCAGAAGGGGAGGAAGCCTGCAGCGGGGCCAGGGCAAAATTGAGTTGCTTTTCTAGGCCTGTGTGTGGCAGCTTTTGGTGATCTACCCTTGGTATTTATGTTCCTAATGCTTGACAAGACCCCTTCCTGGGGAGGCTAAATTGCATGTCCATGTATGTGTAGAGGGTGAGGTGGGGGTGTGAACAAGAAGAAAGAGGGTGAAGGGGTCAGGAGTGGTGGCTCACACCTGTAATCCCAGCACTTTGGGAGGCTGAGGCGGGTGGATCACAAGGTCAAGAGATCGAGACCATCGTGGCCAACATGGTGAAACCCCGTCTCTACTAAAAATACAAAAATTAGCTGGGTGTGGTCGTGTGCGCCTGTAGTCCCAGCTACCTGGGAGGCTGAGGCAGGAGAACCCGGGAGGCGGAGGTTGCAGTGAGCTGAGATCACAGCACTGCACTCCAGCATGGTGACACAGCGAGACTGTCTCAAAAAATAAAAAAAAAAAAAGGATAAAAGGAAGGGCCAGGTTTGGATGTTGTGGATGTGTGTCAAGGAAGAAAGGGTATTAGTCCAATAGGTTATGAAGTCGTTTTATGTGAATTACAGATTTAATGTAGTGTACAATAAAGAAATGTATTTGTTGCCATTTAAAACAAACAGACATTTAGAAAGCACCTCTATTTTTTCTTTGAGGAGCTGGGCACAGTTGCCTAAAATCAGCCAGGGGAAGACTGGGAAGGAATACCCGTGTCCTGGCTAGGCCCAGTTGAATAGGGAGCAAGTGTCTCTGCACTTGAGAGGATGAGTGAGTGGATGTTTGTGTGAAAGGACATCAGTGAGGATTGGTACACTACAGATGGATAATCCCACTGAATGTGAGCTGTACCGTATCTGGGACAAGGCAGGCTTCAGTGAAGAATTGTTACCAAATATATTAAGCCAACAAAGATCATTAAATCACTAGAAGTTTTATTAAACTATGTTTGTTTAATAAAAAATCTCTCAATGATTCCACTTCATTACATAGCCTGATGTTAACATGGGGCGCCTCTGGCCTCAGTTTTGACAGTGGCACTAATGCAGGAGTTCCTAACGTGAGTGTGAGAGAGGTTATGATACACAGGACACAGAGGGGCCAATGCTGGAAAGAAGGGACAGAGGACTTTGTGAAGAGATTCTTTTGGAGAGAGCTATTGTCTATTAACTACCTTTTGTATGAGGATCCCTTGCAGTGGGGGTACAACCCTTCACCTCAGGCCTAATGAGAGTATTCCCTGCAAAAGAGCCACGGAGAGCCTTGCCTGCCATACATGACATGGTGGCAGGGTGAGCAGTTCCCTGGGTCGGCCTGCAGCAAGAGAGCCTGAAGGAGAGCCACGAGGGAGCAAGACTCTCTTGGGTCCTACACTCCAAAAGGAAGAGACTGGAGATGACCCACCACTGCCCCGGAGCCCAGAAGAGGTTACAGCCACTTTACCCCTGTAAAGGAACCCCAGGAGAGAAGCCCCCTGTGATGGGACTCTGAAGAACCAGGAAACTACCCTCTCCCCTCACCTCTCTTCTGTCCCCTAGTTTTGACCGTAGTGCAAATGAAAAGCAGCTAGTCAATGGGGAATGAAATAAGTTAACTATAGGTCTTAGCATGGGAGTGGGGGTTCAGGAAATAAGTAAGTCTTAGCTTTAAAAAAGGATTAAAGCAATAGTTTAATATTTGTGCCGGAAACTCTAATTTCTGAATCAAGACTTTGTTTTTACTTAAAGTGCTCATATACCAATCTTTTACCTGAGACTGAGTATAAAAATTATGGGGTCTTCCATCCAAGGGCAGTTGAAGATTCTCCCCATAGCCTAAATTTTAAAGGAGCAGGAGAAGCAAACACGGAGTAGGATTTTATCCTATCCTGTAGACGTCATGCATTCAATATAGCAGTTGCATTTAGGATTGCCTGCTCAGCCCTTCCTAGACTACAAAATTGCTATGTCTAATTACATAGGTATGAAAACAGCCACCATCTTTCATATGATGTGAAAATCTAGTTTTCTAAAGATGAAATCTCAGTCTGTCAATCTTGATTCCTTGAAACTTCTGTAAGTACTAAGAGCAGCTTTTTCAGAGACTTTGTTTTCTCATGAGTGACCAAGTACAGTCAACTCTTTCTCACCTCTAACAGGTCACTGAGGCTTAGAATTTTAAACTAAGATAGGAGATTATAAGATTATAAAAGCAAAATATTCTGGTCTGTCCATGAAGTTTGCAAACTACTCTTTCTACTATAACTATTAGCTGCTATTTCTTTAAATGTCTGGCTACTAAAATTTCCTAGATAACCAAATTCTCACTTCTCTGCTAAAAGGAACACTTTAGAAACCTAAGTGGCAGAGATGTGAATGGGGACTATTGTTCTCCCAGAGTTAAAGATGAGAGGGGGATGGTGCCCTTGGTTGCAGTGTGGTTACCTGAAGTGGGCTGCTCCATACTAGAGGGCAATGAGATCTTTGATTGTCAAAGTGGGCATTCAAAATGACTTTTTTGTTAACAACCCCAAAAAATGATTAAATATAATTCTTCATCTTCAAAGTGGTCCTTTTGAAAAATTGCGATATTTCTACAAAAGATGACAATCTGCCAACACAGAATAACTTGCGAATGCAAATATTGCTCAGTTCATTGTTCCTGGTTTCCTTCAGAAGCGACATAATCTTACTTTCTAAAAAACGTAGGCTGCAAAGTTAATAGAATTCAAAAGGACTACCTTTCAATCTGAAAAGTTATAAAGATGTTAGTTCTCTGAGTCTTTAAGGAAATCCAATTATAGATCTTTTTTATTATTATTATTATTCAAGCAAAGACCAAAAGAGGAGCTTTTATTCCCTGGTGTCATTTGCTCAGCAGGAACTCACCTTGACATTGCAGCTGATTTTCCTGCATTTCTCATTAGGAAGTTACTACCAAATACCCAAACCTAGACAGAAACTCAGTTTGAGCAATTACAGGTTGCTCTGTACACCTCAGATGTGCACCTTTCACACTAGTTTATCTGTGGAACTCAGGAATGGTACTAGGATGAGGTGTGTGAAGGGTCTAGGGTGCCAGATTTAAAGAGGAGCCCAACCTCCGGGGCATGCACATGCAGGGCGAGAGTGAACTATTCCTTTAATTTTGCATCCTCAGCACTTCACCCCCTCCCTCTAGTCCTGGCCTTGGTGACACTTATTTCTAAATATCCCCAATTTTTAAGAAAGAAAATGAAAATAAAATTTTAAGAGTCTACTATAATGTGTACTGAGTTGCTCTAGAGACTTTCAAAAAATGATTTCATAGTTAATCTTTTTCACACAAACAAGAAGTTGAGTGAAGCAGGCATTGACTGATGAAGTCTTTCTCTAAATTACATAGAAAAAAACTCATCCCAGAGAAAGAGAGTAGGGCTCATTGATGTGTTCTGAGCACAGATGTGTCTGGAAACATTCATCTATGCCTTAGGAGAGATATTATTAGTTTTGTTCAAACTAGCTGGTATATTTAATATATTGACAAGACTATAACAATCCTGGCTGTAATTGCCTTTTTCCTCCATCTTTTCATCACACTAATTTAACTGTTTTACCACACAAATTTTTTCATAGTGATCAATTTTCCCATGCCCATTAGTTATGATCGATTTTCTACTAATTTTTAAAATGGTGCTGTTTATATAACTTCACAAGAATATAGACTTCTGCCTTTAAGATTCATGAGAATGTTTGTCTACTGGGTTTATTTTAGCTCAGTCTTTAGAGTGTACTGGCTGCAAGCAGCTGTAAAGAATAGTGAGTACCAATCAAAAGGGGGAGATTTGGTCTTAACAGAAAATTCCTTTGACTAGCAGGTATATCTATTGCACATGTTATTTGGTCCATTGTGTTTTTGTAACACTAGCAATAACAAAACATGTAATGTGTTTATTGACAGTTGAATATCCTATGGCTCATTTTTTAGTTTTATAAAGTATAAAAATGAATGGCATTTTATATTTCCTGGGTATTAACCTTTTTTTTTTTTTTTTGGCCCACTATGTACCAGTCATACTTACCCCTTTTCATCAAGTACAGCCAAACAAAAGTCAGAAACTTGTGTCTCTCTCTGAAATCAAGCTGGCAATCATTAAGAAACAACTCTTTGGCCAGGCACAGTAGCTCACACCTGTAATCCTAGCACTTTGGGAGACCAAGGTGGGCAGATAACTTGAGTTCAAGAGCCAGCCTGGCCAACATGGCAAAACCCCTTCTCTACTAAAAATACAAAAAACTTAGGTGTGGTGGCGCGTGCCTGTAGTCCCACCTACTCTGGAGGCTGAGTCAGAAGAATTGCTTGAACCTGGGAGGCAGAGGTTGCAGTGAGCTAAGATTGTGCCACTGCACTCTAGCCTGGGTGACAGAGACTCCAACTCAAAAACAAACAAACAAACAAACAACACTTCGATGTTTCTGAATGGCAGAAGCAAAATGTCCCACACTGACTTAGACAAGAAGAAAACTGAAGCACCCCAGTCATTTTATAAGAGCTTACCACCACAAAAAAAGGATTACTGATTCCTCTTTCTTAATAGGCCACAGGGGCCCGGCAAGGTGGCTCACGCCTGTAATCCCAGCACTTTGGCAGTCCGAGGCGGGCGGATCACGAGGTCAGGAGATTGAGACCATCCTGATTAACATGGTAAAACCCCGTCTCTACTAAAAATACAAAAAAATTAGCCGGGCGAGGTGGCGGGCGCCTGTAGTCCCAGCTACTGGGGAGGCTGAGGCAGGAGAATGGCGTGAACCCGGGAGGCGGGGCGTGCGGTGAGCCGAGATCCCGCCACTGCACTCCAGCCTGGGCGACAGAGCGAGACTCCGTCTCAAAAAAAAAAAAAAAAAAAAAAAATAGGCCACAAGAAATGTCAGGTTTTCCAATAGCCTCCATCATTCATAAGTCATAGTATGTGTTTCTCTCTAATGATCTAATTTACCATCTTGTACAAGACAGGGATTTGGCATCTACATCAATCGGATGATTGTTATAGCAAATAAACCCTCAAAAGTTCAATAGAAGTTTCTTTCTTTTTCATTTACCAGCACTATGCAGGGTTTCTGGTAGATGGGCAGATTTTCTTCAAGCCGACGGATTCAGGCTTCGTCCATCCTAGGGTTCTGCCATCCCCTAGGGCTGCTGAGTCCTCTACATCTGGTCAAAAGAGTACAGACTGTGATGAAGCCATATTCTATTCTTACATTCTAGGCCAATAAATGATGTATGTTCCCTCCCACTAATAGGCCACTGGCAAGAATAGTCACACGATCCTAGCAAGAGGCAAGGGGCTGGGTAATGAGGTTCACAATTGGGTGATCACTTTCCAGTGTCACGCTATGGGTGGGAAACACAGAATTAGGTGAACATCTCTCTCTTTCAAAGTGTTCAACTGAACATAATGATTTTCAGGAACCATGACATGTACTTATCTTATTTTTCACTTTGAAGCCATTTCTCATTACCAAAGCTGCACCATGACTATAAGTTATTGAAGTTTCCAGAAAAATTATCCACTCTTTTAGTGGATACTCTTTAGTACAACAAGAAATGGCATACTAAATGTTATTCAATATCCCAAAGATTTAATACACTTTTAAAATATCTCAGTCCCAGAGAAAATGGCATATGTGTTCAAGTTTGATGGTATGGCATTTCTTTTGTTGTCTGTCATTTTCGCCTGTATTTTGTTATATTTTTATGATCAATGTTAAAAGTTCCTGTAAGTTGGAACATTGTTTATGGAGCCTTCAATTCTTGGAAAGAAAAGCATAGTTAAGTTTTAATTGATAAGCCAGGCAGTTGCCTCTATCACCTGTCTGCTCCGTCGTGAATCCATAGGACCATGATGTGCCAAAGCTGGCAAGAACCTTGGACTAATTCCAGCCCCCAACCCCTCATTTTACAGACCAGTAAACATGCTAGCTAACATTACTGATTCTCTCTCTTCTTCAGATGAGTTTTCCCTTTGCTTTCCAATCCTTCATCATTTCTTTTTACCATTGCAGATGCTGGGCCATTACCTGAACTAGCTTCCCTGTGACTCAAATACCCTTGTCCATGCTTACTAATGAAGTAAAAGGGCTTTTGTTATCTGAGCAATTTCCTAAGTAATATGGCAAGCACTCTGTGTCCTATCTCGATGTTATTAATAAAAGAGATCAAGTGATATTTTTATTTAACTCTTGGCATTGTTCTTTGACAGATATTAGTCAGTCAGTATAAAATAAAGCACTCTCTCTGTTTCTCTCAAAATAGAAGCTATGAGAAAAATGCCCTACACAATATCTTTACCTTCTTTGGTTAATTCCTGCCACCAGAAGCTAGAACTTTAGTTAGTCATAAAAGACTCATTTTTCCCCATCACTCTGCTTTCCAAATTTTCGCTGACGTTCCAGTAAGAAAATCACAGAACCAGATTGCTTCTAAAAGTTAAAGAGACTCGGCCAGGTGCGGTGGCTCATGCCTATAATTGCAGCACTTTGGGAGGCCAAGGCGGGTGGATCACCTGAGGTCAGGAGTTCAAGATCAGTCTGGCCAACCTGGTGAAACCCCATCTCTACTAAAAAGCACAAAAAATTAGCCAGGCGTGGTGGTGCACACCTGTGGTCTCAGCTACTTAGGAGGCTAAGGCAGGAGAATCACTTGAACCTGGGAGGCAGAGGTTGCAGTGAGCCGAGATCATGCCATTGCACTCCCACGTGGATGCCAAGAGCGAGACTCTGTCTCTGAATTCCTTCCATCCCCACACACACAGTCACAAGGTGGATAAAGCTCTCTTCCCTTGTATTTCCATTGAAGCTTCTAGTTATATCTGTCTGAACACTTATAACACTATATTGTTCTAGTCTATTTTGTTCTTTTTCAGATCATAATGGTAGTGACTAAACTGCACCACTTAGTGAAATATGGAAGATTCTATATTAGTTAAATTAATGCACAGGAAACACTTGATGACATGGTTTAGGTTAACACAGTCATGCAAATTAACACAGATTCCCAACCCCCAAAGGTGTAAAAGAACAAAGTAAACAACAGAAAGATTCTTTGTAATTGAAAGGAACAATAAAGTTGTAATTAGTGGACCTGATGGTAAATTTTCTTAAGCTACTGATGATCACTGAGCTCACAGGTGTACCTGTAAGACTGCTATTCGTTTATTCAATAAGTATTTATTGAATGCTTACTGCTTGCTAGAGACTGTAACTAGGAAGAAGAATGCAGACAATTTTGCTTGATGAATAAAAACCAAGGGTAAATTTTGAATTATTTATTAATTGGCTTTTAAAAGAGCTCTTTTCCATGGATTTCCCATGGTGGTCTCAAGGGATTATATCTTCAGGAATTCCTACTCTACAATACTTTTTTATAAAAACAGGCTGCTAACACTAATCTGAGTCTTACTATGTGCCAGTCTCTGTACTAAGCACTTTATATGAATTATCCCGTTCCATCCTCATAACACCCCATTGTGAAGATGAGGATCTGGAGACACAGAGAGGTAAAGTCATTTTGCCTAAGGCCATACAATTGCAGAACTGAGCTCCAGGCCTAGGTAGTTAATCATGCCACTGTGCTCCTACACATGGTTTCCAAATAGCACCCCCTTAATCTCCCCTCTGTATAGGGGACAGTCAATCTCCATATGCCTTTGCAGAGCTTGGCTCTGGTTCAAGATTTAGCCCTTATGTCTTCCTGCTGACACCTCATTTATTACTCTTTGTGTTCAGATAGTCTGAAGTCTCCCACAATCCCACCATTGGATATCCAGAGATTCTTTGCACAGTGCTAACTTCCTGCTGTAAATGTGAAAAGACAGAAATAATAATTTAGGACCCCTGCAAAAAGAAGAACAAGACAGTTCTATGGAGCATGTCGATCGAGGTGAGAAACTGGGCACATTGGGCCCACACGAAGCCCATGAGATCATAGTGTCCTTTAAGGCCTTTGGGGGAATGAAAATAAGCCTCCTCATTCTGAAGAAATGAAACCCCATGGTGAAGGGATGTCTGCTTCACTTGACTCAGCAGTCCCCCTTTCGACCACAGACCATTGACTCTGGCAGGCTTCAGATGAAACTTCCTCCAGCCTGCCTCATCAAAGGGAAGCCTGCTACTGTGCAGGGAGGCTTTGAGGCTTGAAGAGGAGAAAGAATATAAAGTGAGGAACTGATGGGTCTCAAAGGACATCTCTCCCAACAAAAAGCAAAAGAACACGAGTATAAAAGACCCATGATTTCTCTAAGAGTACGTAAAAAATACAGGTTGCTAGTTTGTCATATCGTAAATGTTTTCCCCCCTGACTCTGAAGCCATCATGAGCTGAACCAAGTCTGAATTAAAAGAGGCTTCAAAGGAAGCTTAACAGTTGGTCACAAGGGGTAAATTTCCCTCTACTGCAAAAGGGAAGGCTCCCCGGAGGGTGCTAAGTGGTAGGGTCCCTTCAGTAGCTTAACACAGTCGAAAATCATAACTCTTCACAGGCCAGAGCTGGACGCCACCACCACCTTCACCAACTTGCTCAAAGTCGCAGTAAAACAAGAATGCAAACCCACAGCTGTCATCTCTGATGACGGATTTACTGACTTCGGATGGCCGCTTCTCTTTTTAATATTTCCTCTTCCAGCCAGCATGTGAATGACAGAGACACACACCACTGAGGTTCAGAAAACTCTTCCCACAACTGCTGAGCTTCTGAATAAAGAGTCACCTTCTCTGAGAGTGGGACACCTTTGAACAGCGCACATTTGCAAACAAGGCAGGAGGAGAATATTTGGGCTCCTCCGAGGGTTACTCATGTCCCAGCTGCCTATCTGCCCAGGAGCACTTCCATGAGGATTAGTTTCAATCCCCCAAAAAGGAAGAGGAATGTCCACACTGTTACCATTAACTAGGACTTTTGACTGCCATCAGGGAAATTGTATGTGTCTATTTAGTAAGCATTTTAATAGTGCTATGTGCCAAGCAGTGTTCTAAATGCCTTATGACTATAAATTCACTTCGTCATACTAGCAAGACATTATACCAACAAGGAAACTGAGACATAGGTATGTTTAGTGACTTTCCCTAAGTCACATGGATGGTAAGTGGCAAAGCCATGTACCCGACCCAGCTCTGGCTCCAGAGTCCAAGCTCTTTATCACCCTGAGACTCTATTGATTCTCTGGTTCCTATGCAAACAAAATTCATGTCCCCCCTATTACATAAGCTCTTCCTCTAGTTATGATATGCCCAGCAGGGCTCATGAGTTATGAATGCTTCAAGGTACTATTCTACAAAGTGGCTCAAGATGACTGAGGGAAAGGAGGAAGAAAAGGAAGCGGAGGACCACTGCGATTACACTGTTGGCAGTTAACTGGAGGCTTTGTTTCCTTTCCTATTTTTCCAGTTGCCATCAGGAAATGAGGGAGCTTCTGATTCATCTGCTGCTTGGGGTGAGACCTGTTACATCCTTTGTTTGCAGGCACCCCTGGCTCTTTTATGTCCCCACTGGTTTGCTACTTGGTCTCCGTACTTCTGAAATGTCCCTGGATGCTGTTTCATTATGTAGAGTCAGGCAAAAGACAGACGGATGTGTGTGTGAGGCGGCGATGAAGCTGGCACCAGGTCTGCTGTGTCTGTGGTCGTTTATTACCGCTGCCAGAAGAGGAGAAATCTGATCCTGGCAGATGCAGCCTGCTGTGAATCAATATTTTACAGGTAGTATACTTTGAAGAGATGACATCAAGACAGAATCAAAAGAGAAGAGGGGGCGAGAGAGAGAGAGAAAGAAAAGGCGCAAGTAGGAGCAGCGAATTCATCTTGACATCCTTTGACAGTCCTTCCCACAAGGAGTGAGGGGAACAAGCCCCAGCAAGGCGAGCTGACAGTGACGTGGGGGAGGACAAACTCCTGACAAAAGCCATTACTCCCCACTTGCCTTCACCACACACACATTGTCACAAAAGGGGAAACACAGCTGCCATGCCCTTCAGACCAAAGAAAGCCTATTCTTAGGTGCAGGCTGAGAAAACACCATAGACACAACAGGAAACAGACCTTTGCTTCCCCGGCTCACCAACTGGGAAACTGAGAGAGCACTAAGAGGAGACATGAATGCACACTTCAGTGCCTGGCTTGATCTGTGCTTTCCAGAAGTCCCTGAAGGAGGCATTCCAGAGCTTCCATCTGGGGGAGAAAAGGATACTGTGGGTGAGAGGAGGGTGCCAGGGCTTTCTGGATCCTAGTGAACTGAGCACTGAGTACGGGAGAGCTCTCCCTGGTTGTCTTCCTTCCAGCACACCTGCAGGCAGTGAACCCTGACAGATGCCCAGACAAAGCTGGGAGGGCTGCAGTGCTGCCAAAGATACAAAGGAGCTGCATTTATAAGTGGCCTAGAATAGTGCGAGTGTGGCTTCTAAAGGGATGAGAATTAATGAAACATCAATCAAGCTTCTCCTCTGGACAAGGCACTTTCCCAACATTAGGAAAAGACATGGGGAATGTGAGAAAGACATAGAAACTAATAACCTCTAAACCTTGCCTTCAAAAGGGAATGAAGACACACACATACATCTGCTCAAAGACAAGGTAGTCTGATGAGTGCCCAAGACATTTATCAACCAGGCACTATAGGGGTTCAAAAAAGACAGAAGTTTCTGATAGCCTAGAATGGTAGCATTTTAAGATCTGAAAGAAACCTTGGC
Source organism: Homo sapiens (assembly GCF_000001405.40). Classification (NCBI taxonomy): domain Eukaryota; kingdom Metazoa; phylum Chordata; class Mammalia; order Primates; family Hominidae; genus Homo; species Homo sapiens. The sequence continues at coordinate 99,094,846 of NC_000006.12, forward strand.
TTAGGGATGAAGAAAGCTGACTCTAGGTTTGACATCTGAGCCAGGACTAGAAAGATGGCTTGGATCAAGGTCTGGCAAGATGGGCTGGAATTCAACAGGAAAATGGGCAAAGAGGCATCCCAGACAGAGGAAATTATTTAAGTCAGCATTTCCCAGATTGTGTCCTAAAGAACAGAGGGCAAGCAAGAGGGCTATTATATGAAATTGTCTTTTGAAAAATAAGTGTTGGAATTCCCAACTTACCTGGAGATTTAAACAAATTAATGTAGGGTTAAAATTTTTAGTGAAAGAAAGCTTTTGGGAAAAAAAAAAAGGTAACCAATAGCAAATGCATACAGCAGCTAGAGAGAACTTCTTAAAAGGCAAATCTGATCATTCCACACCCCTGCTTAAAACCTTTCCATGGTTTTCCACTGCCCGTAGAATTAAGTCCCACATTCTTAAGCTAGTTGCCTTGTACCCTCTCTACCATTTTTAACTTGTCCCTTTCCTCTGTGATTCAGACACTAGCTTTTCTTCTAGGCAAGAAAAGCCTGACTCTCATTCTTTCAAATATCCTAGGCCTTTCTGTGTAATTCCTAAAACTGTTTTGGGATTCAACCTAATCAGACTCCTGAGTAGGGCTAAAATCCCTTATTGTGTGCTCCAGTGACCCTTGCCTTCCCTCCATGGTCTCTCATGCAGTTAGGACCTAGCACAGAGCCCCACATGCAGAGAGCTCAATAACACAGGGCAGAAGGTGAGCCTTAAAGCATCTACTAGAACCAGATCATGGAGGGCCCTGAATTCTCAGGGAGGAGACTAGCTAGCATTAGTAGACAACGTGGGATATTGAGGATCTGAGGGAGGGAAGATGCGCTTGAAGCTGTGTTGTAAGCTGATTTGGCAGGGATGCAAGGTGGCACAGAGCACAGAGAGGCTGTTGAGGAGAAGCCACATGAGGAGAACATTGCAGGAGCCTAGCTAGAGGTAATAAGTCTGGTCTAGCTGGTTGCTAAGGAATATGAATGGAAATGAGAGCCTGGCAGAGAGTGAGTCTATGGAAATAGGCTCTATAGGACTTCCCAAAAGATGGCACATAGAAGAGGAAAGGAGGTAGAGCTGACCCTAGGTTTTGAGCCTAGATGACTGGAAAAATGGTGATCCTGCTCACAGAATGGCAGTCAGGAGGAGGAGTTGGGGGTGAGAGGAAGGAGCTGGGAGAGGAAGATGAAAGGGGTTCATTTTAGATAGGTTGACTTTAACTTTCAGGGGCTAGAGAGACATCTAGGTGAATTTGATTCTCCCTAGAATCCCATTACTCAAGCCTAGGAGCTGATCAGAATCAGCTGTTTCCCCTCCTCACATCCTACAGTATGACAGTGTGAATGGGAGTGAAAAATGAAACTGGATCCCTATCTCTCACCATATACAAAACTGCCTCCTGCTATTGTCTCCCTCCTAATCATTTTTCAACCTGGTCCTTTCCTCTCCTCTGCACCACCTGACTGCTGCCTTTATGTGAGCTCTATCCGCCTCTCATCTGAATTCCATATGCGCTGCTCCTCTCCCTGCCGACCTTTCCCCTAGCTTCCCACTCTCACCATCCTACGCTCAAGACAAATTACTGTTCCCAAATTAGCTCACTTCCAACCGTACTATTCCCTGGTGAATGTGGATTAGAAGGTGGGAGGAAGATGAAAAAATCATCTAAGAGAACCAATAATCTTAGAGCGAGGACATTTTAAGAAAAAAAGAGGTGGCCAACAGTGAAATATCATGAAACATTGGGAAGATAAGATGTAGAATAAAGCCACAGCTCCACAATGAGGTGTCCTAGTCATTTGCAATGGATCCATCTCTGCAGATTGCCCAGCTAACCTGAGATTGAGAAATGCAAGGCTGGGAGGAGGGAAGGTCTAGGGCAGGGCTTCTCAAGCTATCTGTGAGGAAGAGTCAGCTCTCCATCCTAATCAATTGCAGACTAATATCCTTAAAATACAACAACAGCAAATTATTTTTTAAATATCCCATGCTTTACTGATATAAAAGTAGACACACAGACCAATGGAACATAATAGAGAACCCAGAAATAAAGCAAAATACTTAAAACAAACTGATCTTTGACAAAACAGACAAAAACATATTCTGGGGAGATGACAGCCTATTCACTAAAAGATACTGGGAAAATTGGATAGTCATATGTAGAATGAACCTGGATCCCTAATTCACCATATACAAAAATTAACTCAGATAGATTAAAGACTTAAGTCTAAGACCTGAAACCATAAAAATTCTAGAAGAAAAGCTAGGAAAAACTCATCTGGACATTGGCCTAGGCAAAGAATTTATGACTAAGACCCCAAAAGCAAATGCAACAAAACAAAAATAAATAAATGAGACCTAATTAAACTAAAAAGCTTCTGCAGAGCAAAATAAATAATCACCAGAGTAAACAGACAACCTGTAGAATGGGAGAAAATATTTGCAAACCATGCATCCAACAAAGGACTATTATCCAGAATCTACAAGGAATTCAAATCCACAAGAAAAAAATAAATAATCCAATTAAAAAGTGGGCAAATGACATGAACAGAATTTCTCAAAGGAAGATATACAAATGGCCAACAAAGATATGAAAAAAATGCTCAACATCACTAATCATGAGGGAAATACAAATTAAAACCACAAGGAGATACCTTACCCCAGCCAGAATGGCCATTATTAAAAAGTCAAAAAACAATAGACATTGACATGGATGTGGTGAAAAGGCAACGCTTATACATTGCTGGTGGAAAGGTAAATTAATACAACCTCTATGGAAAACAGTATGGAGATTTTTTTTTTTTTTTTTTTTTTTGAGATGGAGTCTCGCTCTGTCACCCAGGCTGGAGTGCAGTGGCGCGATCTCGGTTCACTGCAAGCTCCGCCTCCTGGGTTCACACCATTCTCCTGCCTCAGCCTCCCGAGTAGCTGGGACTACAGATGCCCGCCACCTCACCTGGCTAATTTTGTTTTTGTATTTTTAGTAGAGACTGGGTTTCACCATGTTAGCCAGGATGGTCTCTATCTCCTGACCTCGTGATCTGCCCGCCTCGGCCTCCCAAAGTGCTGGGATTACAGGTGTGAGCCACCGTGCCCGGCCGGAGATTTCTTAAAGAACTAAAAGTAGGTATACCATTCGATCCAGCAATCCCACTACTGGGTTTCTACCCAAATAAAAGAAGTCATTATACCAAAAAGACACTTGCATGTATATGTTTACTGCAGTACAATTCACAATTGCAAAGATATAGAATCAACATAAGTGCCCATCCACCAATGAGTAGATAAAAAAAGTGATATAGATTTAGATATAGATATATACCATGAAATACTACTCAGCCATAAAAAAAGAATGAAATAATGTCTTTTACAGCAATTTGGGTGGAACTGGAGGCCATTATCCCAAGTGAAATAATTCAGGAATGGAAAACCAAATACCACATTTTCTCACTTATAAGTGGGAGCTAAACTATGAGTACACAAAGGCATACCGCGTGATATAATGGCCACTGGCGACTCATAGCAGGGAAGTGTGAGACAGGGTTTAGGGATGAAAAACTACTGATTGGGCACAATATATGCTACTTGGGTGATGGGTACACTAAAATCCCAGACTTCACCACTATACAATTTATCCATGTAACCAAAAACCACTTGTATCCCTAAAGCTATTGAAATTTTAAAAGTTTTAATTGATCCCATGCCTGGATATCACGGCCGTATCAAACTGAAAAACTACCTATTGGGTACTATGCTTATTACCTGGGTGATGAAATAATCTGTACACCAAACCCCCATGACACACAATTTATCTATATAACAAACCTGCACATGTACCCCAGAACCTAAAATAAAAGTTTTTAAACATGTCTTCTTAATTTCAGAACTTATCTCATTGTGGACCTATGGCAAATAGCTCATGGAGTAGCATCTGTTCACTGACTTCACTGTAACAATGGCCTAGATCTGCACTGTCCTGTCCACTGCGGTAGCCACAGCCACAAGTGGCTATTGAATGTGTGAAAGGTGGCTAGTCTGGATTGAAATATGCTTCAGATTCCAAAGACTTAGTATAGGGAAAAAATGTTTTCATTAATACTTTTCATATTGACTATATGTTGAGATAATATTTTGCATATATAGGGTTAAATAAAATAAATTATTAAAATTAATTTCACCTGTATTTTTTAACGTAGATATCAGAAAATTTTACATTACACATTTGGCTCACATCATATTTTAATGGGACGGCACTGGTCTAGATGGTGAGACACTTCTAAGGTCAAGCATCCTTAAACATACATCCACAGGATTCACACTGGGTAATCTGTTATTTTTCCATAGACTCAAACCACACCTCCATCCCTGTTTTATTTATTCCTTTCCTAAAAATATTTGCTTCCACACTGAGCTGCACTGAATGAGCACACAAAACAGGGGTCTGCAGGGACAGCAGTCCCAAAAAGGGAAAAGGCTCCTTTTTTGCAGGTGCAAAGAACAGTGGAAAAGGGTAGGAAACAGCAGTGGACAGGGAGAAGGGAGGAGATGAGTCATTGGAGAATTAGGTGAGCTACCCTGTAAATGTCAACAACATCTCAGCCTGTTGACATGTCTTACTAAAACCCTAGTGGGGAAGAGTGTTATAAGATACTTTGTTAGTCTAAATTATTTAACTAAATATTCTCTGCACAGCATGCTCTGGTCAGTTTCTCATGTTAAAGAAGACAAATTGTTCTCAGAAAACATGAACCATCAGGTTCTGTTTGGGATTAATTTGCATCTTCAAGAACATCATCCCAATCAAAAGAATCTCTTCTGAACAGATGCATTGAGATTCAGTATCTGAAGAACATCTTTAATTTGACTAATGAAGTTTAGCTTAAATATGGATTGGGGAGGGAGGACAGGGTACAATGTTAAATTTATCCAAAAGTGGCGTCCTCTTTAAACAAATGAGCAAGCAAGCATTCAGCCAAGACTCTTTTAAAAGATTTTCTAATAAATTAAAGAATAATAAAGAATTATTCTTGCCAATTGAGAATATTCAAGATTACATATTTTTATTTCCCATAATGCTAATAGCAATAATTTGGGTTCACTTCATTCATTCTTTTCCCTCATGACAGTCCATTTCTTATTAGCATATAGGACAGGTTCTTACTGTGGCAATTTATTTTCTGTTTTGAGAACAACTTCTTTTCCACCTTCATTGTCACTAGCAGGTGGTCTAACCAGAGATCATCAAGCAAATTTTGTGCACCCCAGCTCCAACTCTTCCGTTTCAGAGGTGCTTTCCTCAGGCAGAGATGTAAACATGGGGCAAGGGAAGCAAACAGCTTTAAGACATCTCTTAAAGCTGTCTTAAGTCACTTTGCTAGCCAACTGGAGCTTCAGGGCAGTACTGAGTTTACAGGCTTTGGCTTAGCTCCTTAAGCTTGGCATAGGGCACAAGTAAAAAACAGTCTGGGCTGGGCACGGTGGTTCACACCTATAGTCCCAGCACTGTGGGAGGCCGAAGTGGGCAGATCACTTGAGCCCAGGAATTCCAGACCAGCCTGGGCAACATGGTGAAACTCCATCTCTACTAAAAATACAAAAATTAGCTGGGCATACTGGCGCTTGCCTATAGTCCCAGCTCCTCCCAACTCCTAGGAGGGCTGAGTTGGTAGGATTGCTCGAGCCTAGGAGGCTGAGGCTGCAGTGAGTTATGATAGCACCACTGCACTCCACCCCAGGCAACAGAGTGAGACCCTGTCTCAAAAAAAAAAAAAAGTCTGTTGGAAAGGTCATTCTGTGACTTTATCTTTAGACCCAGAAGATAAATGGAATTAACATACTTGATGGTAATATAAGGAGCAAGAAAGAATGAAGGTTCTTCATTCATATAACTCATCATTGTATGACAAATCCTACAAAACATAATAACTGTGTGTGGTATCAAATACTGAACCCCTAGGGTGACTGCCCACCCCAGTTCATGTCCGTTTTCATAGCATAATTATTAATAGCATCTTTGTTCACTCTTGGAAGTGCCCCTATTTGGATAATAAAGTATATGCACACTATGTAACCCAGAAAATAAGATGAGCAAAACAACTGGGCATGCGACCCACTCAGTCCCATTGCCTCACTCCTATCAATCACAGTTATAAAAAGCTGTGTATGCTAACTGAATGCTGCATAACCATAATTATGATTTCCATCGGGAAGTGACCATTGATTAGGAAATGGAGTTATTTTTATTGGAGTAGTGTAGGGCTAGCCAGAGGTTAATGGGGACAAAAACAGGCTGGCCTGGAATCCTTGATAGATTAATACTAATTTGCATGGTGGAGGTTAAGTGCTGCGTGGGCTGCCAAGGGAAATGCAAGTGTCTTAGAATGATTCTGGATAAACAGGAAGGTCAGAACAAGAACAGGGGCAACAGGGGTAAAATTGTTGCCTTTCCAGGAGCCAAGCTCCTCAGCTCTTGAAAACTCACCTAATGTGATACCCTGGGAAGATTCACAGGAAATACTGAAATACATGCTTTTACAGTAGAATAATCCTCGCCATGACCTGTAACCAGAGTGAGCACCAAAACAGCTAAGACAAAGCATTGACCAATCAAATGGATGCTCACTGTAAACAACCAGTGTGACTGTACCAGTGTGTTCTGACTGGGAATCATTGTTGTCAACAAAGCCTGATAAGATCTAACCCTGCCCCATGATGGATGTGCTTACCACATCCATCACTCACTTTGCTCCAGCCACTCAGGCTCTTTTTCCTTGCCTTGAATAAGTCAAACTTGTCCCCACCTCTGAGCATTCTCCTGTTTCCATAACCTAGTATGGTCTTTCTTTAGGTCCTGGAACAACTGAGTCTTTCCTTTTTGTCAGGGATCAGCGCAAACATCAACACCTTAGAGTGGCCTTTTCAGATGACTCTAAAGAGTCATTTTCCTAAGATACTCTCTGTCAAGTTCCCATTTCTTTCCCTCATTATTCCTTCAGGTAAACTTACCTTGTTATTTGTTTCCTTGGTCATTGTTTGTCTCTCTCTCTCTCTCTCTCTCTCTCGAATGTGCTCCATGAGCATAGTACTCTTATTCTTCTTGGCCACTGTATCCCCAGTGCCTGGGAAAGTGCTTGATACATGGTACTTGCTGAGTGAGAAAAAAAATTGAATGAATGAGATTAATGAATGGCATCTACAGAGAAATGGGCACAAAGATCCTCAATAGAGAATGGCTACCCCAAAGCTACCTTATTAATGTTACCCTAATTGAGCCAAAAATAACCAAGCAAATAAGAAACAGCATGAAAAAAAAAGAAGAATCAATAAGACTTACTATTTGATAGCTCAGCAGGGTGACTATAGTCAACAATAACTTAATTGTACCTTTAAAATAATTAGAAAAATGTAATTGGATTGTTTATAATATGAAGAATAAATGCTTGAGATGATGGATACCTCATTCCCCATGATGTGATTATCATGTATTATATGCCTGTGTCAAAATATCTCATGTACCCTGTAAATATAATTATACCTACTGTGTACCTTCAAAATTTTTAAATTAAAAAAAAAGAAATTTTTAAAAATAGCATGAAGTACCTTCTTGCTGGATACCCAGCTCAAATCCAGTGCTGGGAAATAAAAGAGTGGTCAACTTCTGCCCAAGATACTCCGACCATGGGTTGTAAACTATACAAGGTCCAGCAGAGACTTGTCGAAAGTCCCCAGCTCTCTAAGTTTTCATTCATACAAGCAGAGTAAGATGTTGAGGAGGGGAAAGTTGAGTCAATGACCACGCAATTCATGGAATAGGACCCAGTGAGAAAAGGAGCAGGGAGGGAAGAGGGGAGACCAGAGGAGAAGAGAGGGCAATGTCCTGCATCCATCAGATCTGTGGTCTACTCTGAGGACATTTGCTTCTCCATCTATCCTCCTATCCACTCTGCATAGGCAGACGTTGTCTAAATCTGAGGAAGTTACTTAATCCCTTGAGTTTTCATTTTCTCATCTGGAAAATGATAATAGGGAAGACCCTCCACAAATACTGTGAAGAGTGAGCATTTTGCAGTTGCAGAGGGTTCAAAATACTAACAAGCAGGGCAGTTTGGTGGCTTTAAGTAATGCAAGTGATGATACAGAAAACTTCCAAAAGATAAATGCTGTTATCCATCAAATTACATCAAGGCTCCCTCCCAGCTTCTGAGGAGAAAATGTTACCTTAATGAGAAAGGGCCATCGTCCTTTCCCCTTGAGAGGAAAAAGCGTTTAGATTTATAAATGTAGGGTTTTCCTGAGGAGAGACAATTTAATCACATCTCAGTACAAGAGTATTCTATCTTTTGTCGGGATTTGACAGAAGAAAATATTAAAGTTTTGATGCCTCAACAAGGCTGAGTAACAGACCTGAGGTTAAAATGAACTGACCAGAGTTGATGGCACTTCACCCAACCTGTGTTTTTGAGATGAATTGCCAGAGAGCTGTGATATTGGAGGTAAAGAGAGGCACGTGCTTTCAACTATCTGGTTTACTTAAAAACTGATTTATTAAAAACTGATACTTGCTTCTGAAGGATCCCATCTGAAATACCTCCTCAAGCCCTACGTTTCCTACCATCACCATCATCATATCATTATCATCATATCCATGCTACAGTGACAAATGCTCCAAGGTTCAGAGTTACGTGTGATTATAATGATTACAAACAGCACATGAACTCCACAATGTAGTTTTGGTCAGGTATAAAAAAGATTATTTGATTTGATCACAGAATCATATACCAAACTATTTGTAATATAGGAGATATTATTTGTGAACCCAGTGACTTTTCCAGATGCATTTAAAGTTTTGTTCTTAAAGAGAAATAAAAGTTTTCACCAAAAATTTGGACATCTCCTTAATCTAGCCATGCATACCTAGAAGAATTCCTGATGTGGGCTTATTTTTAACCTGTGCTTTCAGATGTGCTTGCTCATGAATCATCAGGTAACAGAGTAAATAAAAATTTAAAAATCTCAACCTGGAACCTTAATTGTTTGGGAACTAAAGACTAGACATATACTAATGTCACCATTTGACAGTATGATAAAAATTGTGACATGACAGTGTGAAAAATATTCTGGAGTAAACATAAACCATTAACAATGTTGCTGTTGTCTGAGTGCTCTGATGTGGGGGTTTTATGGTGAATTCAGTATTACATGCATGTATATAAGCCGATCCCCTCGCCAGGAGATCACCCCCCCAAGCCATCTTGGGGGTGCCTGCAAGCTTGCCACTGCAGGTTCACACACTTTCTCAATGCATGGTCAGAATCACCAGTGCTTTCCCTTTCAGCGTTTTCCATATTTATGTTCATAACAGCAAGGCTTTGCATTTGAGTCTTTTGTCTTAAGTTTGCCCATAGGTAAATTTAACACTCGAGTAACCAATGCTCTGTCTATTGCCTTGGGTTGTTTTCACTAGCGAGCCCTGTAGCTGATGGCTGGGCTGCAAATGCTATAATACACTCCCTCCCATTGTCTAAATATGCAGTGAATGCCTTCCTGAGTGTATGTGAAAATGACTTTCTCTTTCTGCTTCTGGAAAGCTTTTTCATTTGCATTCCTTCTATGGGATATAGAGAACCTATTAATAAGGACAATTTCAAAAACTGGCCATCTGTGCTCATTGGGACAAATGAGGAAAAAGCAAGCTGAGCATAGGACCCCACTCTAGAGTTAATCCAGGGCCAAATCAAAGCTCATACGACCAGATATTCATCCTAACCATTTTAATGTTTCATTATATAGCTTTTATGAAATTAGACAGAGGTTGCTTTTTTTCCTACTTACTGATATTTTATTTAGAGTATGCAAACTGGCTAACGTTTTGTTAAAGGTTTTAATTTTATAATAACTAATAAATAATAACTAATCTATTTAACACATTATTCAGTTTATTTATTTATTTAAGACATAGCCTCACTCTGTCACCCAGGTTGGAGTGCAGGGGCACAATCACAGCTCACTGTAGGCTTGATCTCCCGGGCACAAGAGATCCTTCCACCTTAGCCTCCTAAACTAGGACCACAGGTGCGTGCCAACACACCTAATTTTAATTTTTAAATTTTTAGTTTCTAAAGATAGGCTCTCCCTATGTTGCACAGTCAACTGTTATTAATGTCTATTTTTTGCTTGTAAAAGTTAAAATACCCATAGAGAAAATTTATTTCATATGGAAGGCACAGCTATATAAAAGAATGAAATCATGCTCTTTACAGGAACGTGGATGGAGATGGAGGCCATAATCCTAAGCAAACTAACACTGGAACAGAAAATCAAATACTGCATGTTCTCCCTTATAAGTGGGAGTTAAACATTAAGCACATAAGGACATAAACATGGGAGCAGTAGACACTGGAGACTATTATAATGGAGGGGGAGGGAAGGAGGGAGGGGGACATAGTTTGAGAAACTACCTATTGGGCACTATGCTCACTACTTGGGTGCAATATACCTGTGTAACAAACCTGCACATGTACCCCCTATGTCTAAAATAAAAGTTGAAGTTAAAAAAGATACTATGACAAAACGGGATTACATCAAACTAAAAGGCTTCTGTATAGCAAAGGAAACAATCAAGAGTGAAGAGACAACCAACAAAATGGGAGAAAATATTTGCAAACCATACACTTAATAAGGGGTTAATATCAAAAATATCTAAGAAACTCCTACAAATCAATAGGAAATAAACAAATAACCCAATTAAAATATAGACAAAGCACCAGAATTGACATTTCCCAAAAGAAGACATACAAATGGCCAACAAGTATATGAAAAGATGCTCAATGTCACTAATCATCAGGGAAATACAACTTAAAACCACAGTGAGATTCACCTATTAGAATGGATAGTAAGTGTTGGTAAGGAGGCAAAGAAAAAAGAACCCTTATTTACTGTTAGTGAGAGTATAAATTAGTGCTGCCATTATGGAAAACAGTATGGAAACTCCTAAAAAATTTAAACCTTAAACTACCACATGATTCAGCAATCTCGCTACTGGGTATGCATATAAAGGAAATGAAATCAGTGTGTTGAAGGGATGTCTGTACTCCCATGTTCACTGCAGCATTATCCACAATAGCCAAGATATGGAATCAACTTGAGTGTCCATCAATGGGTGAATGGATAAAAAAATGTGATACATATATATACAATGTGGCACTTCATATATACAATAGAATGCTATTCAGCCTTAAAACAGAAGGAAACCCTGTCATTCGCAAAAAGTGGATAAACCTGGAGGACATTATGCTAAGTGAAATAAGCCAAACAGAAATACAAATATTCATGATCTCACTTATATGTAGGGTCTAAAAAAGTTAAGCTCATAGAAGCAAGATAGAATGGTGGTTACCAAGGACTGGCGATGGGGAGTGGGTGGTAAGGGCAGGGGGGAGTGGGCAGAGCTGGGGAGATGTTGGTCAAAAGATTAAAAATTTCAGTTAGATAAGAGGAATATATTGAAGAGATCTATTGTATAACATGGTGACTATAGTTAGTAACAATGTATTGTATTTTTGAAAATCAGAGAGTAGATTTTACCTGTTCTCACCACAAAAAAATGTAAGTATGTGAAATTATACACGTGGTATTTACTTCAATTTAATCATTCCACAGAGTATACATATTTCAAACTATCATGTTATGTATAATAAATATATACATTTTATTTGTCAAAATGTTGATTTTTAAAAATTGTTAGAAAGAAAATATAGAAGGCATAAAAACAAAACAAAAAGTCACCCAGAATCCTACTACCTCAAGTTGCATGGCATTGCATTTTGGTGCATTTTCTTCCCTTTTTTCCCTTTTCATTTATTTAATATTTTTACTTTTATTTTAGTTTCAGGGGTATACATGCAGGTTTGTTCTATAGGTAAACTCATGACTCGGGGGTTTGGTTCACAGATTATTTCATCACCTGGGTACTAAGCATCGTACCAGACAATTTTTTTCTCCTGAACCTCTCCATCTTCCCACTCTCCTCCCTCAAGTGGGCCCCAATGTCTGTTGTTCCCCTCTTTTGTCCATGTGTCCTCTCTTTTGTCCATGTGTCCTCATCATTTAGCTCCCACTTATAAGTAAGAACATGTGGTATTTGGTTTTCTGTTTCTGTGTTAGTTTCCTAAGGATAATGTTCCAGAAAAGGAATTATCTCATTCATTTTTATGGCTGCATAGTATTCCATGGTGTGTATGTACCACATTTTCTTTATCCAGTCTACCATTGGTAGGCATTGAGGTTGATTCCATGTCTTTGCTATTGTGAATAGTGCTGCAATGAACATGCACGTACATGTGTCTTTATGATAGAATGATTTCTATTCCTTTTGATATATACCCAGCAGTGGGATTGCTGAGTCTAATTGTAGTTCTGTTTTTAGTTCTTTGAAGAAGTGCCACACTGCTTTCCACAATGGTTGAATAATTTACACTCCCACCAGCAGACAAACCAGCTGAGAGAGCCAAGAAAAAAGCCCCAATGCACTGTAATATTTTGCTGAAGAAGCCACAAAAGAAAGTCTCACAGAGCCCTGCCTCTGGGTCACAATAAAGGAGGTATCTCTTTCAATAAACATATTTTGAACACCTACTGTGTGCTAAGAACTCTGGTATGTGCTGGTAACACAGAGATTTTAAAAATCCAACCCCTGTATAGTCAACTAGAGGGGACAGAGATGTAAATAGACACAAAATGGTACTGAAGAGTCAGCGACAGAGGTAAGCCCAGAGAATGGGGATCAGGGAAATTTTTATGGAAGGGATGGTGCTGAGCTTGAGTAACGAAGGACTAGGATGAGTTAATTAGGCAAGGAAGAATGCACATGTCACACAGAGGTTGCAAGCAGCATGTGCAAAACCTCCAAGCTTTACACAAATCATCAGATTCTGGAAACTGCTAGTTCTACATAGTTGAGGCAACTAAAGGGAGTTATCAGCGAGAGATACAGTCAACTCAGTAACTTTCTCATGTAGTTTTGAGAAATCAGATTGCTCTTATCTGGAACACTCTATATCAAAAGTCAAGATGTTGGTATCAAGACAATATTGACCTTCTGGATCTGGAGCTATGGCTTATGGACTTTCCTCAAGTCCCTGATGGACTTGAATCAATCATTTTTAAGGGTGGCCAATGTTCGGGTCAATTGAAGATATTTACTAAATGCCAGCTTAGAAGAAAGCAATCTTAATCAGGTTTATTTTTTACCTTTCTACTTTAAATCTATCAGTCTCATCATCTACAGAAATAATACATTTAAACTAAAAGGAAAAAAAAGAAACAATCAAGATTGCCTTTTTGTATGAAAAAAACCAAGATTGCTCTTTTTGTATGAAAGCACAGTTTCCTAAATTATCTACTTTAATAAAAAGTCATATAGAACAGCAGTCCCCCATTTTGGGGCACCAGGGACCAGTTTCATGGAAGATGATTCTTCCACAGATGGGGAAACAAGAGGATGGTTTCAGGATTAAACTGTTCCACCCCAGATCATCAAGCATTAGATTCTCATAAGGAGCACGCAACCTAGATCCCTTGCATGCACAGTTCACAATAGGGTTTGCGCTCCTACGAGAATCTAATGCCACTGTTGATCTGACGGGGGTGGAGCTCAGGCGGTAATATTCCCTTGCCTGCCACTCACCTCCTGCTGTGTGTCCTGGCTCTGATACTGGTCCATGGCCTGTTGCTTGGGGATCCCTGACATAGAAGCAAGGCAATAAGTAGTGTACATATCCTCTAACATGTGTATGGATATCTTCTCTTATTTATGTCCCTACAATCCTCATCTCCACTAGCTTTCTGGTTAGAGATTGTGTTGAATGCTAACACTGCTAATAAAAGCTGTAATGGATGACTAACAAGACATGTTAAACCTGGGATGCCAAATAGTTTCCATTTCACCTGCCAGATCCTACTGATTGTTAGTGACTGCCTACCAATGAATAATCAGCACATTTTTTCTATAAAGGGTAATCAGCAGTAAATATTTTAAGTTTTGCATGCTGTAATATTAATATATGGTCTCTATGACAACTATTCAACTCCATCTTACGGTATGAAAGCAATCATAGATAACACACAAACAAATGGGTATGCCTGTGTCTCAATAAAACTTTATGTACAAAAATAGGCTGAGGGCCAGATTTGATTTGCTGACTCCTGGCCTAGCATGTTGAATGAAAGGCTACATCTCAGCTAAGTGGGATGAACAAGGGCACAAATTTGCAATCCCTGTGTTAGATTAACTCTATCTATGAGCTGAAACTTGCAAATGAGACAGCTTAGTTTTAATTCTAATTCTGATTCTTTTTCTAATTTAACAGGCAGTTTTAAACCAATTGTTTAACCCTTATTTTTGGCTAATGTTCTTGGTTGCAAGCAACAGAATCCACACTGGCTAGTTTAAGCCTCAAAGTGAAAAACCACACAGCAAGGATCAGTATGGTAACTAAGGAGCTAGGAGGTCCATCACATGCCCCTACAAGACCAGATGCCTTCACCACTGTGCTGACCAGGGGATCCCCTCACCTGGACACTATCTCCTGTTGCTTATTTCTGTGTTCAAGTCTCACTCTTGTGTATTTGAATAACAAAGCTTAGGTCACATATCTGTTCCCCAGCTAAAAGGGAATGTGAGAAATACAGGTTTTGGTTTCTGTCTTGGGAAAATGATATTCACTATATGAGAAACTACCAAAATTTAGAAATGGTGCACAAAAGATCTTGGGTAAGCATGGCTGGCAGAGGTCTACTGTAATCTCCCCATCTAGATTTCTTCCCCTATCAAATTGGTGATCCTGTTCCTGTACAAAACTGCTCACTATAGTAATTTACAAGTAATGTAAGGGAAGATATTTTACTTTGACATAATTCATCATTTAAAAACTTCCCAGGATTCCGATCTAACATGTTAGCAGCTTTTGAAATGCATAATAAATGTTTGGCTTATAATCTAATTTCATCACTGATTTTACTTGTAATTCACAACTTTATTTTCATCTTACCTCTAAAAATATAGCTTCCCGATACACTAAGAGGTAGAGGAAATCAGGGAAAAAATAACTACTCTCAATAACAACAAGGCTAATAACAAGAGCTTGCCGAGTTATGCATTTATTCTATGCAAAAAGACAACTGATGACATTTTGTTCTCCTTGCAATCTTTAAATCTTTCTTTTCCTTCCCTTTCATTACTGTCCTCTTTTTAAAGTAAAGCAGGCCAGAGGCCCTGGCACTCCATGTGTCTCTTTTGCCAGTCCTGGCAAGTGTCCTTTACACCTTGACAGCTTTATCACCTGCAGTCAGCCTTTCCCGTAAGCCAGGCAGGCATATGATTGGAAGCTGGTGTGTCGGTTCCTCGTGTGCCTTTATTGCTGTTCTCATCTTTGTCTACAAAGGAGAAGGCTCTTTTATGGCTGTGGAGATAATTGATTCACTAGACTTTCCTCAGGTTTTTCAAAAAGCTTCTAAACCCTATAGCTTATTATGATTGTAAGCTTCTCTCACAATTCAAGCAGTAGGGTAATTTTCCGGACTTGAGGAAAGCTTCCCTTCTCTGACTTTTTAGCGTAGGTTTCTCTCAACTATTCCCTGCACTGAGGAATCTCCATTCCTGCCATCAGTCATTACAGCTTTTGCAATTAAAGTTCATCATGTTTGCCTCCTTTTTTCAGTCTCACCAAGTGTTCTTTCAGAGCACATTTTACCTAATCCAGAAATCAACTGCTGACATTTTTTAAAGATAAAAATGCAAAAATATGTATATGATCCTCCTGGTCTCACCCAGGGAGAAATCATTCCTTTAAAAAAAAAAAAAAAGAAGACATGCAAAGTTTATTCCTAGTCATATTTGGTTTGTTCATTACTACATTCCCAGCAACATGCATGGCCTGGCACATAGGGGTCCCCAATAAATACTTTCTGAACTGATAAATAATTGAAATAATAAATCCTAAATGTCAGTTTACATTGCCCCCAGATTGTTCTTCTGAGCCTCTATGTTCTATGACACTAATGTCCATGGTGTCCAGTAGTAAATTAAAATATCAGTCACAGCAATGAAAATAGAAATTTTTATCAATATATTTCTTAAAGCAAGAGAAACAGAAAATTGTTCACCAAAAATGTATTTGGTCAAAATGTTACATTTAATATATATCTCCTAAATGTACCATAACCATTTTCTTTGCTGTAAGTAAATGAAACAAAAAGAGTCAGTAATCCTTGGGCAAGTCCCTACCACCCCTCAGTCCATTAAGCTAAAGGAGTTAGATCTCTTAGATAATATGTCACTCTCTGTTTACAGTTTTTGGAGCCATCAGATATAGAATATGGACCGTTCATTTCATTTTATATTTTGAAATGCAACATCTAATGTCTGGGTTGTTCATAGGAGTTAATAGATGGGTTTCAGAGGGCTAATACGCAGAAAAAGCTGTTTGTATGTGCAAAATAATACAGACTGGGAAAGAATCCATAGCTTTAATCAGGCTCTCAAGTAAGTTAGTGACCAAAAAAAGTCCTGGTCTAAATGTGGTGAAGTCTATCTATACCCACTTTGTCTCTCTGATGTGGCCTGGGTAAGGTAGTTTGAAAGGAACTGGTGGTGGGTAACATTTCTAGCTTTCTGGGAATTCTCTGGAGCATCACAGGCTTATGAGGTTAAGTAATTTAAACTATTCACCTTCCACTGTGCAGTGGAAGGCCATTACAAGAAATTATGAATTCAAGTCAATCAGATTTTAAAATGATCTTTCTGAGGTGAGATTTAATCTATACCTAAAAATTTCTGCCAGAAGTACCAAGCTCTGCCAGGTGGTCCACATACAACTCAGAATGTGAGATCATAA
This sequence comes from Homo sapiens, assembly GCF_000001405.40. Classification (NCBI taxonomy): domain Eukaryota; kingdom Metazoa; phylum Chordata; class Mammalia; order Primates; family Hominidae; genus Homo; species Homo sapiens. Next base: position 99,111,762 of record NC_000006.12, read on the forward strand.
AAGTAGAAAACCACATCAATAAAGTCAACAACTAGAGGCGTAATATGGTATGTATGAGGCCTGCCTTTCAGTCCATGTTGATGGCGCAGAACTGAGTTGCTATAGGATGTACTGGAAATCAAATGACTCTCTGAGGACGGGGAGAAATGGACATACTAATGTAAAAATTGAAGTAATGCAGGAGAACTGAATCTCCAGAAAACAAAGCCAGTAGTTCCATACTAAGAAATCATAGTCTTTTCTTTTCAGTAAATAAATATAAGCTCTCCTTATATTAGAGGCACAGTTAACTCTCTTCTGTTACCAAATGTTGTGAGTTTCTCTCTGCAATCCACGTGTGCTGCAGAAATTATCCTTATCTTATTCTTTTCAGCTTGGATCACTGTACTCTCTCACTAAAGGTAGGAGGAAATGCTTCCCCATCCCTCACCAACTTACAGCTTCTGAGGAAGGCATTTGCTTCGGCTGGGACTGAAGCATATTTCTTTCATGCATATGTTCCAGCCCAAGACATGTTTCCTAAGAAATATATTAAAAGACTGAGGAAGCTCAGAAACAAACTTCTAAACTGTTGTAGTTTTTTTTTCTCTTTTGTTTTTTACTTTAAAACAATCAGGAGAAAATTGCCCGTACCTTTTACTGGCTATCAGGGTATATAGAACATGGTCTTTTCGAACAGATAACTGTACACTAAAAAAAATTTAAATCTCAGAGGAAAAGTCTTTTCCCTTCCTAAACAAACACACGAAGCTAAGTATGAAACCCAGCAATTCTTTTAGCAAAAAAATCCTAGGTGTCACCTTGGAAGGTAGAGAGCAAGAGAATGAGATGTAGAACAAGTACTTTTTGATTTATAGGATAGAAAGAAAATTGGGAAATGTAGAGTTCAAATGGTCTTAACTGGAAAGGTGAAAACTGAAGTTACCACTATTTGGATGATTAGCCCAAAGCATTTCCTGGGTAGAATGAGGTCTTATCAAGTACCCAGAAAATTGCCTCAAATTTCCATTTCACACTACAAGTATATATCTGGACAAGGTTATTTACTAGTCAGAGTGGGGGCTGAGGATGGCAAGGGGCAACTGAGCCAAAAGTGAACTAAGAATTGGAAAGTTTCTGATTGCTTTAAACAATCATTCTGCATACCTTAAAACTGGGGATATAATTTTATAAGTGGAATATTTCTATAGCATCCATAAAATTCAGAAAAAATAATAAAGGTAAGTATTAAAAAATAAAGCTAACCAGGTATCATTTCATTTTACATAAAATAGAAATTGCATTCCCAGTTGGTCTGAAGTTAAGACAGCTATTTCCATTTACTAAGCCCCTTAAAGCAGTTTTAAAAGTATCAGCCTCTCTGCTCAATTGTAAAATGCCTGCTAGTTTTTGAAGGAGTGCTTTGGGGGGTGAGAAAGATTCAACTCTAAAATGGCTAAAAGACAGTTTTATGAATCTCACTGTGTCTACAAGATGAAGTATTCAGGCCGTTATCATGTGCTTATATTTCCAGGATGTGAACAGACAGCTCCTGACTCGGTATTGATGACTGCTTACTATGCTGGCACCTTTTGTGCCGCACAATAGGTAACACATCTGCAAAACCGCTCTCAGAAGCAAGAGATGCAGCTGTTAAAATTACACTCTTCCTGCATTAAAACCACCCCCCAGTTGTGAGCCTTGTGAGTACTGTTAAGAAGTCATCTTACCTGATTCCTGTTGATGAGCTCTTTATATATGTACTCTTCTGAAAATATCATCGAGGCGTGTTGCCAGTCTTCTATTATTAGCAAGAATTCCACCTCTTGTGAAGCAACAGAAGCCAAACCATTATAGCTTATAGACCCCCTAATTCCCACTTATTAGGCAACCAGTCTCCTATTGGGTTGGAAAAGACTGAAATTTACATGCATATAGAGTTTAACCAGAAGCATTCATTTCAGTAGAAGAGGACATCTCAAGGTAATAAAAATCAAGTTTCCCATTCCCAGCCTCTTCTTATACAAATTCCTTTCCTCTCCCTGGACTACTACCCAGTAGCTCACCAGAATCATGAGGTCCAGTCCAGATTGTCCTTAACACTATCCTGGAGCAATTGGGCCCCTCGCCTTTCACCAGATTAAAAACTTTTGGAATAGGAAACAGGAGGTTTTCCATACTGAAACCAGGGCCCTTGGTTAAAAACTGAGATCTGACAGAACCCCTTGTGGAAATTGCTACCCACTTCCTAGGAAGCTGGGTGCCTGGCCAGCAGCATTCAAGAAATGGTGGCCCAGGATCCACTCACATTTTTCACTAGAAATCTGTATTTCCTTCCTGGGGCTGCCATAACAAATTATCATAAGCTGGGTGGCTTAAAACAACAGAAGCTTATTCTACCACAGTTCCAGAAGCCAGAAATCAGAAATCAAGGTGTCAGCAGGGCTGCACTGTCTGCAGAGGCTCTAAGGGAGGATCTGTTCTTTGCCACTCCTAGTTCTGCTGGCTGTTGGCATTCCTTGACTTGCAGCCACACCACTCCACTACTTGCCTCCATGACCACAGCTCCCCTTCTACCCATCCTATCTCCTTTTGCCTCTCTCATAGAAGGACACTTGCGGTGGAGTTAAGGGCTCACCTAGATAATCTAGGAGATTTTTAAAAATTATATCTGCAAAGACCCTTTTTCTAAATAAGATAACATTTACAAATTCCAGAACTTGGTATCTTTGGGTAGTCTTTATTCAGTCTACTACAATATCCAAGACCCTAAACCTTGAGTAGCTACAGATTTTGAGGAGTGGTGGATGTTAGACTGCTGCAATTGCTGACTGACATGAAGCTGGTGGTTTATTTAATATTTTCCTCTAATCTGTGCCAAAAAATTTGTGCTTTCTTGATGCCTTGCTGCATAAAGATTTGGATGAGACTGGCCTTGCCTTGTCTTCCTTTTAACCCAGCTACTCACCTTTACCCTCACTCTCATCCTCTTCCCTTTGCCCAACACACTGACATTGCTGCTGTCAGTAAGAGGGGAGCCTGTAAAGTGTTTTATCTCTCTATTTTACTAGTCTCCCCTTAAAGTGAGTCGGAAAGAAAATGAAACACAATTCATAGTGTTCTTACGCCACAGGACTATCAGTCTTATTCTCAATCTGACTGCCTTCCCTGTGCATCATAGTCTGTTTCATGTGTATTTGTTTCCATGCTGCTTTATTCATAAATCAACCAGGCTAAGAGAATGTGGTTGCCCACTTGTTTTGAGTCTATTGCTCTGTCATCTCCTAGACAAGGTAGAGATTGGCAGATGTTGAGCTTGGAGGAGGATTTAAGGCCACACCTCTCCCCAGAAATCCCTGGCTACAACTTCCCCACAAAAGTTCCCTCAAAGAGAATAAACACAAAAGGATATTGTCCAACTTTGGTAGTTTCCCCACACCTGCGGTCACCTGCAATTTGCATTCATGGTCTGACCTTGGTTGCCAACACTCACACGACAACAAGGAAGAAAGTTCATTCAGTACAACAGATTGCATCATAAGCATATGTGGCTTAGGTGAATTTAATGCACCTGGGTGAGGGTAGGGAGAAAGAAAGAACATTTAAATCACAGGGCATTTCCACCTTCTATTCCACTCAGTGAGCATAAGCTCCCGGCTAGAATGAAATGAAAGACACAAATATCTATTTTCTCAATCAGTCTTGCCTCAGTTTTCCAATGACTCTCAAAATATGAGCATCTTGCTACACTATGTGTAATTCTAGAATTTAAAGTTGGGTATTGCCATGCAATATGATTCTCAAAAACACAATCCAACGGCTTCATTATAAATGTATATATCACACTTATAGAGTTGCATATATACTACAATATTTATTGTTCTTTGTGAGTGTTTTAAATTATTTTCAAGGGTAATTTTGACAATTCATGATTTTTTCATTGACTTCATAACCTCTGCCAGTTACAACTCAACTGTGATGAAAGAAGTAAGGAATTAAATAGCTAGACATAAATGATACTGCAGACAGCATCACATCCTGAAATGTTTCTTATCAAAGTATTTATAAAAACCTCAGCTATGAAAGTGGCTTTAGAGGTCACCTCATATAGAATAGAGTCTGTTATCACTCAGGATAGGCTCTGTTATGTTCAGTAATATACAACCCCAAAATCCAAATGGTTCAAAAAACATCAAAGGTTTGTTTCTGCTCATGCCACGTATCTACTGCAGGTCAGCTGTGGGTCTGCTCCATATTATGTTCACCTGGAGCCAGGCTGATTCTTAACAATTATACTTAACAATTATACACATTGACAGTTATTGTGGTAAACAGGAAAGAAACACGACAAACCATACCATTTTTCTTAAACCTTCTGCCTGGAAGTGGCAGATGTCATCTCTGCTTATATCTCATTGGCCAGAGTAAGTCATATGATCAACTCCTGAGTTCCACAGATACGTAATTCTCCAGCACAGAGAGGGGAATGGAATATTTAGAAAACTTACAAGGATTCTCTCTTCAATATTTTCCCCAAAATCGTCAATGGACAATGTTTAGGTACTCATCATCCCTCAAGGAAGCCTACTCTACTTTCAGTCAGTCCCAAGTATTTAAAAGTTCTCCTTTATGTCTGTCCCCTCAGAGCTTCCACCTATGGGTCCTCTTTTTGTGCTACTATGTCAGTGAGGACAAATCTAGTTATTTTCCATGGGACAGCTCCTCAAATATCTGAAACACTTAAGCTCTTCAACTATTTCTCATGTTTCAGGGCGTTAGGTCTTTGCTCAATATATTTCCTTTTCCAAACCCCTATTCCAGTAATAAATTTCCTTAGCATTCTTTCAGCATTCTTTCTGCCTCATAGAACTTTCTACACATTTGGCTTCCAGTGATGTGGTTTTTTACCATGAAATTTATTTCACTCGGTTCAAATGCCTGTCACAATGCCTGCGGTCTCCCTCTCAAGACCCTACGAACAAGATTCAGCAGGAAGATACATGGTTATGGCACCCTAGGTATCCGTGTTCCATGGCACTGTTTGTACCTCATTAGTAAACATTTTCTTTAAATTATCTTGGATACTCATTAAATATTATCAGCTACTTAGAACCAAAGGATAATTATGAGTTTAATGAAGCGTGCACCAGCTTGCTCAAGTCTAACGTTTGTTTCTCTGCTGGGACCCCATTTTACTTTGCACTTATCCTTCAGCAAAGCTACTCTACAAAGTCACTTTGGCAATAAGAAGTATTTAATTAGATTAATGAATTTTTATCACCTCTCCTAGGGATTAGGCTTGTTAAATCCTGGCGACTAAAGAACAACAGATTTTTTATTACTAAATGTTTAGGGATGCGCTGGTTGTGCTGCAGTGGCAGTCCTCATAAGTCAGGCTGCTCTGGGCAGTTCTACCTTGGATCCCTTGGTAGGCCAGGGATATTTGGCAGAGACAACCTGTGCCTTCAGTTAAATCACAGAAATCAAAATGCAAATGAAATCATGTGCAACCCAGACAAGGCTTTCGGCAGCTGCCTTTCTGTCAGAGGCTGCTGACTTATTGTACCCTGAGAAAATGTGCCCTCTCTTCCTCTACTTGCAGGTGTTTGGGAGGAAAGGGAAGACCCTATAACCAGTACTTCCAGCTATTCATGAGGGCATGGGTAACCACTGTCATTTTCCTAACTCACGGGTGTGGTGAGTAATAAGGCATAAGGGGTGGATTTTTTTTAAGGATAGTATGCAATTCATCTAAAGACATTAAATGATATACATATGTAAAACAATTTGGTATCTGTTTTAGCTAATGCTTTGAATTATGGCAACGTCTTTCATCTAGAAACTTCAAAGCACTAAAAAAAAAAACACATTTCGCTCTATCACATTCCTATGAGGCAGTTTTAAAGTATAGATATTCCCACTTAATAAACGGAACAACTGAGGCACAAAAGGCCAGAATCAGCCAATGTTGTAAAATAAATCAGCATCACAACAAAAGAACAGTCTCGTGGTGACAAGACTGATGTTCTTTCAGAAGCGTGTAAATCCAAATGTAATAATGGTATCGTCCTTCAGAATTTTAAGATGATGTCCCAGGAAGAGACAGGAATAGGAATGGGGACTAAAAGGAGATAGGAGACTTCCTGGGTGATAAATTTTTGATCAGAGCAGAGAGGGGATAACAGAGAACTGGAGATGTTGAAAGTAAGCTTTATGGCAGTTCAGAGGAAAATTCAAACTAAAATATAAACAAGGAGGGCATCCTTAAATTTAGTCAATTTGTATACATTTAGGATTTAGTACAAAACATGTAATTTATATGAACCATATAATTTATCACCCATACTATGACATTTTTAAGAGACAAAGGGAGTGCCATCAATAATTGCACTAACTGTACCTGTCTCACTTCTTTGCACTCAGGCTAGTAAACAGTTTTGCAGTGTTTTAAATAAGTATTCTCCTTTAAACACCATCCAAGTGTTTTAAACCCTCACATTTTGAATGAAGGAACTGGGAGAGAAGTTAAAAAATGAGTATGGAGAGGAGCTTTCCATAACTGCAAAAATGTAAACCAAGTTTGGCATGTTTTCTTACCCAAGATCAGTTATCTTTTCTAACACTTCAGGTGGAAGAAATGCCACCTGTGAATAAATTGTACCAGGCTAAATAACCTATTTTCCCTTCTTTCCAATTATCTTTTTTTAAAAACTAATGTTCCCTGCAGACTGTGTTTGGTCAATCTGACCAAAGAAGTCACAAAGAAGGCGGCATTTGGGGACTGTGGTTACCTGTAGACACAGACATTTATCACCATGCTAACACTGCCAGTAGTTTACAGGGAGAGTTGGACTGGATGACCCTGCAAAAGCAGGCATCCCTCTTCCCACTCAGGTGAGGTGACGAATTAAGACAGTAGCATGAGGATTTTTTTGGGGGGAAGGTTTAGTTTAAAGACCACGAATAAGTATCCACACACTGCCCCTAGTCCAGTTCTGTCCAACAGAACTTTCTGAGGGGAGGGAAACATTTCACTCCTGCATAGTCCTATACAGTAGCCACCCACCACATGTGGCTATTCAGCATTGAGATGTGTCTAGAGCAACTGAGGAACTGAGCATTCAATTTTATGTAATTTTAGTGAATTTAAATTTTAAAGTCATGTGTGGCTAGTGGCTTCCATATAATACAATTCTAGACACTCAAATGTGTGTGTGTGTGTGTGTGTGTGTGTGTATATGTATATATATATGTATATATGTATATATATATGTATATATATATATATATATGTATATATATATACCACTTTGTTGTGTAGGAATCAGCAGATGCTGTACTTTTTCAATTTTCTAACACCTAAGAACAGTTTTGCACGTTAGGATCTATCTCGTCTTTAACTAGAGAAGCGGTCAAATCAGGAGTTCAGGCTGCCAGGAAGGGAGCAGGATGAAGACCTTCCCATTTTTATGCTGACATCCACCATCAGCGCAACGATTTGATTTAGCAGTGGTGGCTCTGGGGCCAACATCACAACCTTAAAGGGCAGACTCTCAAGAGGTGAAATAAAGTAGTGCAGCTACACACACCTGGGAAGTAGAAGCATATGTGAATCTGCCAAACATGAGATGCTTGTGCAAGAAACTAAATGCTATCTTTCATTTCTTTTATCTGCAGTTAAGACACAGTTTAAAATAGCTGAGTCGTTGCCTTTGTGCTAATATCATCTAATGCTATGTTTGAGTGGCAGGTCTGATTCATCAAGCTAGCAAGATCTGTCCTGGTTTGGATGGCTCTTCCTCCAGTGGAAGACATCTAAGTGACTACAGATTGAGAGCTCTTTTTCAATGCCTTTTGTAAACAATGCTGGTGTCAGACTACCCCCTGCTGGACAGAGAAGGAAGAAAAAAATTAGGTACCTTTTCTAAAAGGAACAATATCCTATTTCCTACAGGGATGGGTGTTTTGTTTTACTCTCAGTTTGGTAGATTATCACCATGAGCAATCTGAATAACATTATAAGCCACTGCCTTGGTCATACCCTTCTGTTTCTTCTAGATCTTTATGCAGCACAACACTGCAGAGGTGACCCATCAAGGGTAAACTTTGACTGCATTCTGTACCTTTTTATAGTAGGCTTACCACTCATTACAGGGCTGTTATAAGGAACAGCATAGGCTTCATGAAAAATCTAAGCTGAATAAACCGTAGAGGAGTTTACATTCGTGCAACTCACTCACACACAGAAGCAAAAAATCAGTTCAACACATGGACATCAGTTGACTAACCACCTGACATAACATCCTTCACAGTCACCAAACCATGCTATGGATGCAGTTATTGTAACTATTTGACCTCAACTCATATTTGCAACATCAATACAGCTTCTTTGCTATTAAGTCATAACAAAAGGACAAATTTCCTCTCCTATAAAGGTATTTCCCAAAGTCCAAATTAATTCTGTGACTCTGACCTAGAGTCACAATATACACTAAATCCAGTGCAATTCAGAAGTATGCATTTATTTCTGAATTTCATATATTTAACTGTTTGAAATCTTATTGAACTATCTTTTTTTTAAAGTTATGGTACTTTCTGTATCTGTTTTTCCCACTTTCAAGACAGAGTAAGATATATAATTAAATATAAACTTGCTTAAAGTTTTTAAATATTATCTTATTACATCCTTACCACAGAGAAATTATAGCTAGGCCTTCATCAAAATAACCAACTACTATGTAAACAGCATAAATGTGCTACATGCTATGCAGCTTCGTTTAAATGGAACTTGCCCCCTGGCCTTGAAGTTGTAAGTGAGACAGCACTGAAGACAGGTTGCACTGAGACAAAGAGCAGTGGCCTGGATATTGTTAAAAACCTATCACTAATTAATAAGAATTGGATGGATTACCCATTTTATTCATTTCCCTTGGCTTCATGACAATTATGCATTGACAACATCCTACACCACAACTACTGAAACCTTACAACACCATTTAAAACAAATTCAGTTTCAGAGAAAATGACACATTGCTAAAGCAATCACACATCCAGTCATTAAATCTGCTGCAGGGTCTGAACTGAACAGGCTAGAAATGAAGTAATGCTGCCACTTGTAAAACTGTCCATCTGCTAATGGGCACCCGCCAGCTATGACCAAAACTGATCTCCACAGGGTACACAGAGCAGTGGATTGTTCTGGGACAGCGGCGATTTACCACATCTCAGGGCCCTGTACTCACAGAGGAAGGGGGTGGAAAGGGGGAAGGTAGAACAGATTATTTTGCCATAAGGCAGATGAGAAAACCAATGCTAACTGTATAGTCATCACCTCTTTAAAGAACAAAAGAGAAGACTCCATAGGCGAACGGTCAGGCTATAACACTAACAAACTTCAGTAAATTCAGGAACTTCACAAAAGATAACCATCTTTAACTCGTCCTTGACCCTGTCTGCTCTTCTTTTATTTGGAACTTCATGGGTGAACATCATTCTCTAACCTCAAGATCATATGCACATGGGTGGGCACATGCACACATGTGTCTATCTTGACTGCTTCAGTGATCCTGTAGGTCTGACAAAGTCACATAAGAGATACTGGGCCAGGTGCAGTGGCTCACACCTGTAATCCCAGCACTTTGGGAGGCCGAGGCGGGTGGATCATGAGGTCAGGAGGTCGAGACCAGCCTGACCAACATGGTGAATCTGTGTCTCTACTAAAAATACAAAAATTAGCCGGGCATGGTGGCACGCCCCTATAATCCAAGCTACACAGGAGACTGAGGCAGGAGAATCGCTTGAACCTGGGAGGCAGAGGTTGCAGTGAGCCAAGATTGAGCCGTTGCACTCCAGCCTGGGTGAGACTCTGTCTCAAAAAAAAAAAAAAAAAAAAAGAGAGAGAGAGATCCTGAAACCACAAGTTATAGGAGTCTATATGCATGTGGGGGTATTTTTTGTCACCTGGTTAAAAGAAAGGCTTAGTCAACTGGATGCGGAAACTGCAGAAATCAACCTCTCCTGCTTTCAGGAATAGGCTCCTCTGCCAAGGCTAACACAGGAATATTCGGTTGATGAAGTGAATCTCTTTCTTCCGTCCACCTTTATCTCCCTCTGTATGAAGTAAAAACAGGAATGTCTGCTTTCTTAACAAAGAGGTTTTGCTAATGCTTGAGAAATGCCTTGACGGTGCAAAGTGATAGGTGTTACTGGAGTGAGGTACCACAGGAACAGACAAGCCAGGGCATGGCTGGCTGCTGGCTGCTCTGGTAACTGATGGTGCACCTGGGTGTTCTGTTTGGACCAGAGCACCAGACCTGCTCACACACCCTTCTCCCTTCCTCACTGACAGTCTCTAAATTGAGCAAATGCTGACAGCCAGTAGGAACAGGTCCCCAGCTTTCCTCCCCAGGGCTACCATGGTGCATGGACAGCCTTATTGTCAAACCGTTAAAGCCCAGTAAGATGAAAAGGCTTAAACAGTAATGAGCTGCAACTTATTTTCCGTCATGAAGTTTTCACTAATAAAGACTTTACATCTCTTCGAGTACATGAAAAAGAAAGCCTTTTGTTTGTTTTAAAAAAATGAGCCATCCAAAGACAGAAGCACATGAAAGAAAATCTCTTTTAAATTTGTCCATCTCTTTAAAATTTGGGAGTGACCATGAGGCAAGATAAGTCTATAAGGTATTTTGATAGAAATCATTAAGATAGACTTAAATTTATGAAATGAATAGGCCACACCTAATCAATCTATTTTCTTGGCCACCTTCCTGATCAATGTAGGTCAATCTCGTTTTAGCTATTATGTTTAATTGGTTTTTTTCAAAATGGTAGTTCCTGATCAGAATCATATGAGTCACAGTTCAATTCATCCACTTCATACTAAACTGCCTCTCTGGTAATGACAACTAATAGTGATTGTACACTTAGCATACACCAGACACATGCTGGCCTTGTCCATATATTACCACATTCAGTCTACACGACAGCCTTGCAAGAAGGGTTCACATTTATCCCCATTTACAGATAGGGAAACTTTGCCAAGGCTACCTAACAAATAGGGCAGAGTCAGGACTGGAACTCAGTGGACTCCCAAAATGGGCCTCTTAACCACTATGACATGCTCCATAAAACCCATGGAATCAAATCATTGATTCATACACAAATATATAGAGAGACATATATCTTAATGTACATATGTATTACATATACACACAAACACACACACACATATATATACACACACGCATATATGTGTGTGTGTGTGTGTGTGTGTGTTTACTCAGATATTCAGAGCCACGGTACTTAAAAAATGTGGGCAACCATTTCTAAACCTTTAAAAGAAATAGACAGTCTATGCATGTAGACCCTCTTAATGGTCAATGTAAATCTGGTTCATTTTGCTTTACCAGCCCATCTCTGGAATAATGAAAATTTACCAAGCTGAATATCCTTAGCACAACCTTTGGACGTATTGTCTGCATAATGTATAATACTATGCATGTTAAGAAAGGGGTCTTAATGCCACACGCCAGTCTCTGACAAACCCCATCCTTGAAGTTTGATTTAGTATTGTTGGTTTCTGATTTAATACCAAAAATAATTCCAACCCTATAAATCTGTTTACCAAGGAAGACGGAGATAAAGACACAGGGTATGAGTGTGTCTTCACATCTGATATTACAGGTGTGAGTTTAATCAGACCTAAAGTTTTTATTACATTTGTTGAAACGTACCCCGTGTCAATAGGGCTCTTTTTCTCATCATCTGTGACAAGGATGATGTTAATTTCTCATGAGTCACATGTGAAGCAACCAGGGAAAGAAATACAATCAATCCACCCAGAAATTGAATCCACAAAGGTACCTGGTAATGGAATAGAAATACCATAGAATCTCCTTAGAGTTAAGGTCTGGACAACATCTATTGCTTGGCACTGAGAAGAATTTTTTAAAAGAGAGGAAATGGGAGAAGGATAAAGTGGAAATCTAATTTTGAGAAATAAGGATTAAAGGTTCCATTATTCATGCTGTTTTCACTGTATATATTGAGTTAACAACATGTGATTTTACTGGATGAAAATGTGGGCCACATGCAAGGAGAGTGTGGTGCAGATAAATCCCCACAGCGACAGTAATGAGTGAGGGTTAGTGTCTTGTCTGCGTGAGGCTGTAAACAGTCCTGGGTTCTGAGCTGGTATAATAAGTGGAGATTGTTCCTGGACTTACTGGGGAGCACAAATAGTTTCCGCTACAGGAAAAGCAGCCCCCCCCCCCGAGGCAGAGAGGCGCGGCACTGCTATCTTCCTGGTTATCCCGTGGTAATGTGCGAATTGTGGGCCCCGAAGTGCAAACCCCGGCAGGGGGCGGGGCTGCAAGCTCCTCAGAGTTGGCTGCCTGCCTTCTTTTATTTATTTATTTATTCTTTCTACACACTGTTTTGCTGATACTTCACAGGTAGGTGTTTCTTTTGCCCCCTCCCCTTCCTTTCCCAAGGGTTAGGGGGTCAGGGAAAGAAAAATCAAGTTACAAGTTAAGTGAAGGAAACCCTCAGAAGCCCACGTGTGGATCAATCCATGTTGATGGGACAAAAAGAAGAAAAACAGGGAATAAACTGACTTCTGAGCTCTAGTGAGTTCCAATCTATGCCACCCTCACTAAGCCTACACACATTATAAAATGAATCACCTTTTGGCTGCCTGATATTCACTATTAGAAAGCCTGCACATCATCGTTAGAGCAAAGATCAAATCAGAAGAGAATCATCAATGGATGCAAAATTGAGGGGAGATTTCGATGCAAGGCAAGACATTTGAATGGTCTTAAAGTGCCTCCCTACAGATTGCTTATTAGTTGTAAGGGGAAATACAGTATTAGGTTGGTGCAAAGGTAATTGCAGTTTTTCCCATTTAAAATATGGAAAAAAAAATCACAATTACTTTTGCATCAACCTAATAATTATATAATGGAGGACCCAGGAAACATTTTGACTAAGTGATCAAAATTAACATCACCAATGAGGGGGAGATGCCCATCGTTCACCTCTGGATGTGTCCCATCAGCTACGGTGCATGTCAGCCAAGAACACATTCAGGTTAGCCAGAATCTAACCACGAGGAAGCATCTGACACAATGAGAGGTGTTTTATATATATATATAAAAAAAAATGGGGGCCTGTATTCTTCAAAAACGCCAATGTCAAAAAAGACAAAGCCTGTGGAAATGCTCCAGATTAAAGGAGGCTAAAGAAACATGACAACTAATTGCAATACCTGACCCTAGACTGGATCCTGTATTGAGGAGTCAAAATGCTACAAGGGCCACTAGTGAGCCAATTAGCAAAATTAAAATATGGACACTAGCCCATATAAAAAGTATTGTATCGATATTAAATTTCCTGAAGCTGATAGTTGTACTATGATTACATAAGAAAATATCCCTGTACTAGGCCGAGCACAGTGGCTCACACCTCTAATCCCAGCACTTTGGCAGGCTGAGGTGGGTGGATCACGAGGTCAGGAGTTCCAGACCAGCCTGGCCAAGATGGTGAAACTCCATCTTTACTAAAAATAAAACAATTAAAAAAAATTAGCTGGGTGTGGTGGCAGGTGCCTATAATCCCAGCTACTCGGGAGGCAGAGGCAGAGAATTGCTTGAACCCGGGAGGCGGAGGTTGCAGTGAGCCAAGACTGCACCACTGCACTCCAGCCTGGGCAACAGAGCAAGACTCCATCTCAAAAAAAAAAAAAAAGTTTAAAAAAAAAAAAGTATCCCTGTACTAAGAATGTGCCCTGGAATATTTAGTGATAAAGGACCATAATATACATGTAAATTACTTTTAAATGGCTCAGAAAAATAGTATGAGTATATATACATTTACATATATTGTATTATAGAGATATATGTAGATATGAAGAGAGACCACAAATAATAAAACAAATTGGGTAAAATGTTAATAGGTAAATGTGGCTAAAGACTTTATGATGTACCTTGTTCTATTCTAATTCTTACAAGTTTTCTGCAAGATTGAAATTATTTCCAAACACAAAGTTTATCTAAAAAAAATTAAGCTTTCAAGTCAGTATTGCATCTTCCTTACTTATTTCATTTAAATAAATGCTCAACTCAGAGGAAATTACACAGAGATGCACTGACACATTTTACCTAGTCACTTCCTTACTCTGAGTGTATCTGTTCTACCAGAACCAAGACATCCTGTACTCAAAATCCTCTCTAATCTCTAACCAATAATGGGGTATTGATGGCAGTCATGCACAAGACTGACAATTTTTCATGCATAAAAGAAAACCAATAAAACAAAATTGCATGCTATCTTTTAAAGCCATGTACTCTTCAGCATTGGGATTCTGAAGAAATTTTACATTTGGAAATTTCCAATTATGGTAATAGGTGTCTTACTCTGGTATTCAAACACAGAAATAAAGTATCTAAATCAATGGCATTCTGAACATATTCAGCCTAAGACATACAACATGGTTTGAAAAAGCATGTATTGTAAGTTATGTTACCACTGCCCTATTGTTTAACTGAAAATGTTTTAATATTTCTTCATGGATAGCCTGCAAACATCCAAGCAGTGGGCAACTCAACCCAGACTCTCAGTTATGAGATCTGAATTAAAATCTTGCATTTCTATTTGATCTCTTTCTAATCCTATAACTTGATGAAGAGACTGACTTTCCAAAGTTGAGCCCAATTAGGCTAAGAGGAGCCAAGAATTGTCCCCACGAAGCACCCTCTTCTCACCAACATAGTAGCTTTTTTTCAGCTCTTTATTGTTGTTTAGAATAGTGAAATTGGGTTAACCTATTACAAACATCTGAATTTATTAGCAACTTGAATGGCGAAAGGAAGAGCATCAAATAGAAAAAATATTTGCTTCAGGGAACTCAGCAGTCCTGAAGTGTTTACTAGCACTCCTTGCCTTGGTGGGTCCTGACCACCAGTTATCTACCCAGACCTGTGAAAGACTGTTCTCATTTTCTTGCTTCTCAGCCGCCACTTTCTGCTCAGCCTCTCAGCCTCCCAGCTGCCACTTTTCAGTGAGCAAATGTCTGATGTTCAATGTCAGGTTCACCTCTCTGCACTTCCCCTCTTTTCAGGATCTTGGTCATCTCCAGTTCTTGCTGCCACAGTTGTTCTTCAGTGCTTTCAGACAAATAGTTGTTAATATTTATCCAGCTGTTCTAGTTATTCTTACCAGGAGAGTTGGGCCAAAATAAAATATTCTGCCACAGCTGGACTGTCAATATAATTATTAAGTGGACAAAGTAGGACGTAAAACTTGGCCAGAGAGAAACTTGAACGTTGCTAATAAGAAAAAGAACCAAAGACAGGAAGGATTTGGCTTTTATATTAATAGACATGGAAGCAAACAAACTTATCATGAAGACTTGCGTGAATGTTGCCCATTATTCAGCAAGTGACCATGGAGCTTCCTTCCTCACACTTTCCTTTGTCTAAAAACTGGGTGATGCTTTTTGCCCCTATTTAACTTTGCACACTCACGGAGAGAAAAACAACTTCAGTGAGTTAAAGTGGTTTTCCTAGCTGCACTACATGAATAATATAAATAGACAATTCATAGTACAGGAGGTTATGACAGCATTTATTGAGCACTTACTACATGCCAGACACTGTGGAAACACTACACATTTAATCCTTATCAGAACCCTTGAAGTAGGCACCATTATTTCCATTTTACAAGGGAAGCAATTGAGAAAGTAATTTGCCCAAAGTTACACAGCTATTAAGTGGCAGAAATAGGATACCAACCCAAGCAGTCAATGGTGGGTTTGATGGCGTTTGCACACTACAGAGCACTCTTTAAAGATGGCCTCTACATGGCTGGGTAGCTGGGAGTCAAAGAAGCAGAGAGGAGCACAACTTGCTTCTTGTGAAGGTGGAATACTATATATTTTGGTCTGTGTCAACCAGTCCCCTTCCCTGTGTATGGTGTTTCGCCACAGCTTCCAGTTGCTGCAGGCTCCAGCCCCATGGTCATGGCCTCTCTATTCAACCTTCCGAAAACAAGGAAGGCACTGACATTTGAGTCCTTCCTTATGCCAGATGCAGGGATTGGCCCTTCACAGCCTTCATCTCATTTAATCATCGCAGCCTCCATCTCATTTAATCATCACAGCCTCCCTGTGACGTTGGCTTTATTATCCCTATTTAATGGTTGAGGAACTACCAAACAGTTCAGTAGCTTGCTTTTGTTTGTCCCCAGAGCCCATAACCTTTTCACGAAATTGTGTGATTCCACTCTCAATCTGAAAGACAAATGCTGTAGGTTAGATTTCACCAAGAAGCATTTCTGAGATGCTCTAAAATCAGTATCTTTAAAAAACAAACAAGGCCGGGCGCGGTGGCTCACGCCTGTAATCCCAGCACTTTGGGAGGCCGAGGCGGGCGGATCACGAGGTCAGGAGATCGAGACCACGGTGAAACCCCGTCTCTACTAAAAATACAAAAAATTAGCCGGGCGCAGTGGCGGGCGCCTGTAGTCCCAGCTACTCGGGAGGCTGAGGCAGGAGAATGGCGTGAACCCGGAAGGCGGAGCTTGCAGTGAGTGGAGATCGCGCCACAGCACTCCCGCCTGGGCGACAGAACGAGACTCCGTCTCAAAAACAAACAAACAAACACCACAAATACAAAAACCAAAAGGATGAGTCCCTGACTAGGGATAAATTCTCATGGTAAAGCCCTCTTTAAGAGATTTTCTTTTGCAAACTAAAATCTTCTTTAAAAAATTATGGGCCAGGTGCTGTGGCTCACGTCTGTAATCCTAGCACTTTGGGAGGCCGAGGCAGGCAGATCACAAGGTCAAGAGATCAAGACCATCATGACCAACATGGTGAAACCTCGCCTCTCCTAAAAATACAAAAATTAGCTGGGCGTGGTGGTGCATGCCTGTAGTTCCAGCTACTCGGGAGGCTGAGGCAGGAGAATCGCTTGAACCGGGGAGGCGGAGGTTGCAGTGAGCCAAGACTGCGCCACTGCACTCCAACCTGGTGACAGAGCGAGACTCCATCTCAAAAAAAAAAAAAAAATTATGAATCTTACCAAATTCAGAGTATTTTAACCTCAAATTTTCCTAAAAAGAAACTTTATTTCTATTTCTACAAACAACAGAAAACCAAAGATTGGTATAAGACATGATACATCATAGTGGCTAAAAGAATGCAAAATTTAAGAAATGTGGAATCTGAATTCTCCTGTATATGGGGCATGAAACCCTCTTTTCTCCCCAGTTCCCGGAGTGGGCCCTAGGAAAAGGTGGCTGCTGTGAAGTGTGAACAGGCAGCTTATATTGGCTCTGCAGCTGGCAGAGTCAGGGCCTCCCCACCAGGAGGTTAAGAGGAGCTTGAACGATGTTAAGAAAAGGGAATTACACAATTTCTTTTCATGCCTGATTACAAGAAATAATGTCTGGGGACTTTTTGGCAAGAAAAATTAAAAATCTTCTACGTTTCATGGGTTAGTGAAAAGAATACTAATTTTCAACCAAGTTAAGGAGGACTCAAGGGCTGGCTCTACCTCTTACAAGCTGTGTGACTTTGAACGATTTGCTTAACTTCTCTAAGCTACCATTTCTTCACTGATATTTCCGTCACTTGAGGATACTTTAACAATGCAGGTGAAAGAGCCAGGGAACCACCATGCCCTCCCTTTCTTGTCTAACCTCTCAGGATAGGGACCCTAGGGGCCCTAAGACAGCAGTTCGGAAACTCGAGTATACCAAGAATCACCAGGGACACTGAAAAACAGCATTCCCTTGTTTTGATGCAGTAGGTCAGCAGTGAGACCACAGGCCAGATGCCTCAGACCCCACTTGGAGGAGCACTGCACAAGGCCTTTCTAACATCACCCATGCTGGGCCTGAAACCACACTTGAATTGTATGTCTGTAAATTAAATATACGAACCAACATTTTCTCCTTTCCTTACATATATTCACATTGATCAGGGCACCTAGTAGACCCTGCTTGCTTCATTGCAGAGTGTTTCATGTGACATTCGGGCACTCAGGGTGTACTGCCAGTTCCACAGCACCCTCCTTGTCTGGCCAGATTTATGCTGCCACCAGCTGCTTCCAAAAACCTAAATCACGCCTTAGACAGTCTGCGTAGAGGGGACCTTGAGGCAGAAAAAGTTAAGTGGGAAGTGGAATGACTCCATGACAGTTAAAGTCCTTTGAAATGACTTTCACTTCTCCTGAGTATTTTAAAGAAATATTATTACCCACCCCAATGCCTGTGAAGTTTTGCTGATATTGCTATTTAGGAAATATACATAGAGATAGTAGTGAAAACCTAAGGTTATCTGTATCATCAAATTTCACAAATGGAACCTATGGTTCATTTTAGCTTGAGATTTTTTTTATTGTTGTTTATTTGCTTAATGAAAACAGCCCAGTAAGTTAACATATTCAACCTCAGTTACTTACTCTTTCTTCCATTTCCTCCTAACTGATGAGAATGAAAATAAACCGTAGTAAATCCACTACACGCACAGAAAGATGAGGAAGAGGAAGAGGAGAGTCAGGGAGTGACTGTCGAGAGTATGGATTCCTCCTTATTACAAAGGCAGCATTACAGGGTGTTTCTGTGCATGCAGCTGCAGACCAGTTTCAGATCCTACTTATATTTCCAGATCCTCATCTTCATGGGGGGTTAAATCACTACATCAAAGCCAGCCACACAAACTGGAAGGGAACCATTTAAATCTTGGCTGCAGATGCGATCACTCCAGCCACTCACTTGTCAACTATTGAACAATGCACTGAAATTGTTGGTTGTTCTAAGTTAACTCCATCCGATCTATTGGTCAAGTGGTCAGCTGCTATATAACGATTAACCTGATTTATAATCAGTGTCTATGACAAGGAAATTTAGTGGTCATGACAATGAAAAAAAATCAGCCCTTGATTAAGACTCACTTTAGTCACATGTATATAAAGCCCTTCTCATAGTAACTAAGAATTTCTCTTCCTCTCTCATTCTCCCTCTTCCTTCTCCCTCCCTCTTCTCTTTTCCTCTCTCTCATATTCACACATGCTGCTTTCTAAGAGAAATTCCTCTTGTTCCAAAATACTAAAATCAACACCAATGGCTTCTCTTTTGTTCAGCCCCAGTGCCTTCTCATACCCATTCCTGAAATAATATCCTAAAGCAATCACTTGTTGCTGCAGGAAAAAGGCATAGCATTAAAAAGAATATAAAATGAGGTCTGTGCATTCTCTGAAAATTTCAGATGCGGCTGAACTAAGCCAACTCCGTATCTTAGTCAAGCACAGAGCTCCCCCTAATGCTGGCCCATGAGGGGAAAAGAACAGAACGAGAGCCAGAAGTTTTACATTGGCCTATATTTCCACAGACAGAAAATAAGCCACTTGTCAAGTGCTAATTGTGCTCAAGATAATAACACCCTCCTTGTACCTTCTTGCCTGCCACCCACAATTTCCCCTACCATCCCCAACAGCCTTTGTGTTAGAATCCCACATGTCAAGGTCACCTGTTGGAACTCCCATGTCTCCCACTAAGGCCCATGCCTGTAGCACAGAGAGTCTTTCATACTGAACCTGGCTCAGATAGCATCTCCTCATCATAAGTGCCAGACGGTCACGGTGGACTCTCGGGACCTGTTTGAGAAATTATATTTTTGGTCCTGAATTAAAGGATTGCATTTCTCCGGAAGGCCAGCTGTTGGCTGACTCCAGTGCCAAGAAGACGCTCTTCGAAGTGTGTTCCTGTGTTTCTTTACATCGTTGCTAATCCTCTGGCTGAGGATCAGCCAGCAAGTCTCACTAGGGGCTTGTTTACTGACTGATAGGGCAGGACCCTGGTATCTGCTCTGTTCAGGAGTACCTCGAAAACCAAAGAATACACAGAGTTCTTCAAACAAGGGCAACTTCCACATCAAAGGGAAGCGAGTGTCATTTACTAAAGCCGACAGAGGCCTCCCGGTCATTCAGGGTCTTAGAATAAATGAGATGTGGCTCCCATCCACCCTTCCTCTGCCCTCATCCTATTTCAAATTTGACTCCAGTCAGGACTATAGGACCTGGTCCTGCCCCCGGCCCCATATCCCACACCCTGGGTATTGGGTCTTAGCCACAGACCACTCCTCCATCCCAGCCCTCCATCAGAACAGTCTCCTGCTCCGGGACCTGCCATCAGGATACAACATGACTAATGAGCTTGATTCCAAGGTGGCAAATTGAAGGCTGACAAGTCCAGCCAAATCAGGGTGGCCAGATAGATTTTTTTTTAAGACCATGCAGTGTTTCCAAAAACTCTGAATGAATTATTAACATTTTAGATCGGGATCTTTCATATATTCATCTTTTTTAAAATGAGAGAAACTGGCTGCCAGGACTGCAGTCCCTTGCACTCATGGGGGGCTGAGACACTGCTGGCCCCCAGAGGAGGCTGGGGCTCCCCACTCCCATCCAGCCCTTCCCAGTCAGCGGCCCTATGCAAGCCACTGGCCTGGCCCCCGAGACACTGTGTTTGCAACCATGAATTAATCAGATATATAACACATTAACACAGATTAGTTTATTTGGCACCTCTCCCAGGTAACATCTTAAGCCAGTTAAAATGCCTGTCTACAGAAGATTCCTAAGAAGTGATTCTAATGAAGTCTGATAATAGAAAGGTCAATAGGGGAAAATATTCCAGCTTCCAAAGCCTTTTCAGCATCCCTCTTCATTTCTCAGTGGCAGTTGGTTGCTTGCCACATTTTTAACATAGGGCCCATTTTGTGCTATCTGGTTGATTTGTTCAAATTAGTTCCACTTGAGAACTAAAAACAGAGACTATAGAGTAACCTTCAATCCTTTCTGAAACAAAGCAGGCGATGCATAAACAAATTCAAAAATTTTGAAATGGACCTGAAAATAAACTCAGGCCCAGGGCCTAAAAGAAATTATGATATTTTATGTATGTCTTTACTGTTTTCTTCTTCTTCTGATTGGTTTTTAAGAGAATCTGTATTCATAAGATAACTCAAAGATGTTGTCTTCAGGCAAATGCTGTGTTGTTTTCAGTTAAGAAAAAAACATCTGGGAGGGCCAGGAGTTATTAGAATGTCAATCACTGAGTTCAGAGTGCAGGCGTGCAGGCAGCCAATGTAAAAATTTCAGGGTAAGTAGAACTTGGAAAATTATTTTGAAAGAGAAACTGTGAGACTACTGTTTTATGTTTTGCTTTTTAAAATAAGAGTTGAGTTGGGTGGATTTATTTACTCAGCTAATAGAAAGAGACATAAATATAGATATAGATATATAGATATAGATATTACGGTGTAAAGTAAGTACAAGTTGTAGATCAGAATGTAAATGCTCTGAGGACACAATCTACCCACTTTTATTGCCTCCCCATAAGTCTCCAGCCCAGAACTCTACACACCAGGAGCTCTGTTAAATACTTGTTGACTGACTGTGTACGTGAAGTCGCGCTTCTTAGCCTATTATACCATAACTTGTCCTATTTTACCTGAAGGACTTTTCCAATTAGAATGTTATAATCGGAAGTTAATCAAGCAGAACATTCATAATACTGTAATTTTAACAGGAAAAAATATATTTATTCTAGATATTAGGTTTTTTAGTCTCTCTACCTTTTATAGCTCAATAGCATTGAGATTTTAAAATTAAAGACAAAATTTTAAAACATAATTATAAAAATGCTATAGAATATTTTTCATAAAAGTTATTTAAAAGGCATTCTTGATTGTTTAAAATGATCTGTCTTTGAATCCTCAACTTGGGTAAAAGCTTCATTGATTCAAACCCTCAATATACCAGATTTTTTTTGTAATTGTATCCAAAATAAGCAACAACAACACAAAATTGTTTATTGGAAATGTAATTTTTAAAAGGATGACTAATTCAATTTTTATACCTTCCACAGATAGCTACAGGACTACATAAAGAACATTCATGATCATAACAGAGACCTTAAAGCATAGAAAGAATAAAATCTTAGGCAACACCAGAAACTTACAGATTACCTATTCTAGCACCTGTATTTAATGGTGGAGAAAGCCTGGACAGAGAAAGATGAAGTGAATTGTCTGAAAAGTTACACCTCTTCTTAGAAGCAAAACCAGAGATAATTTCTGGTCTGGTGTGTTCCCGGCATCCCAGGTAACGATTCCTTAATTAGCAAGTGAAGATTCAACCAGGTTGAATATTCTGCATTAAATTAATGTGACCAGGAGAGCTAATAAAGCAAACATTCTGCCCATCCCCCCACCCAATGAATTCTAGTCCTTTAAGTCCTTCTTATAATAAGAATGTATTGACTGCACCCACTGGCCTTTTGGAAACATAAGCACTTGTTTATTTGGTTGGTGTTTATTGCTACATTTACTAGCATGTGCATGGCCCAGATTAGGAGCTGAAAGAATAATGAAAGAAATGGAAATTTTCTCCCCACACCTCCAGAAGCATTCACTCTCTCAGAGAAGAGAAGATGTAAATGTGTAAAATAGTTAACAGACTGTGCAAAGAATCACATCAGATTATTGGTAGGGCAAAGAGCAAGGCTGAATATGAATAGGAGGCATCACAAGATGCCCTTTAGAGAAGATGATGCCTGAACTAGGTTCAGTTAAAGGGTAAAGGGGAGGAAAAGAGAGGGGAAGAGATGGAAAGAGAGGGGAAAGGGAGTGAGGGGAAGAGAAATCAGGCCTTCAAAAGACACCCCGCTGCAGTAAAATATCTTTTGCTAATCTGCTTTTTCCTTAAATTCATTGCATAAACAATGGCAGGTTATTGAAAGAACTAAAAATTACCCCCTAAACTTGAACCCTGGCAGTTCCTGGCACTCATAGCTCTCTTCCTTCCTATGCGTGTCCAAGAAAGCTGCATCTTTTTACACCATGCCCCTGTATTATTACACTTCAGTTGGGGTACAGAACTAGAGTAAACTCCAGCAGTGTGTTTGTGGTAAAATTTAGTCCCCAGATCCAAATTAATGTCCTTGCTTATAGACAAATGCTCCATGCCCTTGGTGGAGGGAGGGCTGATTTGCAGAGCATCACCTCCTCTGGAATGCTTCATTGATCCCTCTGCACAAGTCCAGGACCTGTCACCTCCACTTTGCCGTCAGGACAACTTTGAGCCAGCTCCTCAGACCCTAGCAAAGGAAATTAGCCACCACTTAGTGATATATGACCACATGACAGGCCACTGTATATACGCAAGCTCACTTAATCCTCAAAGCAGCACTACAAGGTGGATATCAGCATCCTTGTTTATCACCTACAGGAACAAAGACTTTTATAGCTTCAACATGTCCAGGGTTGCAACAGAAGTTAGTGTTGGCTGGAATATGAGGTCAGGTGGGCTGGGCACCAAAGCTGGTGATTTATGCAAACATCTCTGCCTCCCTGGGGAATCACTCAGGATAACAATGAAGCAAGACACAGGACATATTTTTTTGTTGTTGGCACTCCAGCTCTTCGCTAAACCTAATGGGGGTTGGTGTCGATGAGCGACTAATTCAGGATGAGAGATTTCTGCTGATTACAGGGTGATAGCTGGACCCAGATGAAGCCTGGCAAACTGTGAGCTCTGAAGGTGAAGACCAAGTGGTGATTCTATCCCCACCCACTCAGGACAGAGCCTTCCTTGCCCATCAATCATCCTCAATAGTTATTTTAGGATGACGAACTTTCTCCCAAAATTTGCTTCATGTTCTATTTATTTTATCCATCCTTTTCACTTTCTTATTTTTATTTTTTCTAGAATAGTACAAGTTGGTGGTAACTTATGACTTAAAGACCACTGTCAGAAAGGCTCCTATTTGGCAATGTGTATGTGGTAAACAAGTGTCCAGTAATTCCTGGTACAGTAAAGGCCTATGATGGAATGAGGGACACCTCTGGTCATTTGTAAAGCCTGGTCTAAACAAAATGTTCTTTCTTTCCTTGGCATGGATCTTTGAATTTGATATGGATTCTGGTTCAATATTTCTTGGCCATGCCAAATAATCACCAGGCAGGCCAATGGGCACCAGAATATGTCCTGATATTAGATCAGCAATGTCCTAGATTAGGGGAGACTGTCATCACAACAGAATTTTGCTTATTCTACAAACTTTTAGATTGTCTTTTCTCCAAAATTCGTCACAAACAAATGAAAATCCAACTATCGTATAAGGAGTAACAGCAATATTCTATCTGATTAAAATATAATGATTTAAAATGATGGCAAACTATTTACAGCTTGACTTCCCATACAGACATACATGAAAAAATTAACAAAAGCCATAATACTAAATTTTGGCCCTAAACTGTGTTCCCTTTAATGTTGCTAATAATCTGCTCATAAAATCTCTGAAGACAGAGACCCCATGTAGAAGCCATTACTGCTATTTCAAATACAACCTGTAATAAAGTTAATCGGGCACACATTTAACAATACACATGTGGTAATTGTTATGGCACTGCATAGTAACTAGACATTAAGACTAAATGGTTCACATAAATTATAGAAAAATAGAAAAGTCACATTATCCCTTTCTCTATACCACTGGTCCCCAGATGCCTATCTGTGGACCACCTGTATTCACATCATCTGGAGGGCTTTTTGAAATTATAAATTCCTGCCCCCTCCCCAACAAGAGTAAGATTCAGTAGATCTGGTATATGAGGAAGTTTTGCACCACACCAAGATTCTCAAGTTCAAATGCCTTCACAAGTGAGCACGAAAATTGTGTATATAGCAATTTAAGTGTATGTATAAGAAAATAAATATTCCATCCAAAGTCAACTACATTGAGAATATTTTTCAATGTGCTACTTTTGCCACCCCTTTGCCCAACTTGCACCCCTGGAAAACACATCTGTGTGCTGAATTGAGATTGACAGGTTGAATTTCTGGTGGATGACATCATAGTGCAAAAATCTTAAGGGTTTCCTTTTGTTGACACATGAAGCAGAAACGGCACACAAAAGTATTTCTTGCTGGATATGGCCATGTCCTTTACACATTATAGCTAGTCCCAAGTCGTTATTAATTATACACCTTCAGTCATTTCCTGATTCAGTCAATTTTTATTGGGCACCTAATAGGTGACAGCACTTGCCTCAGCATTGAAAAGACAAAATCGAATAAGACAAATAGCCCATGGTTTAGAGGAATATGTTTTGAAATTATTCTGATGGCCAGAATGGCATCAAAATATTCCTTTAAATCCAAAGATAAACCTGATTTTTCACCGTCCAAGTGCTGGGGAAATAGATCTCTAGAATATATTTTGAGATGCTATTCCCCGGTCTCCCATATTCAAGTACCAATACAGAGGACAGGCCGACATCGGAAGCTCTGAAACTCTTTGAAGCAGACATTACCTCATGCTCCATGGCTTTCTTGTTCAGGATGGCTCCAAGAGAAATGGGGCTTCCAGGACATTCCATCCTGCCAGCAGTTCGGTGATATATTTAAAATGGCCCATTTCTGGGGCTCTCTAATGAATGACATTTATAGGGTGTCTTTCTCTTTCTTGAATCAAAAGATACAGAGATTTGTGTTATCTTATACTCCACCAGCCCTTGTTTAGTGTTTATATGGGCAAAATCTTGGGCAAGTCACTCAATTCCATTAGTGCACTCACTATTTCGCTACTGAAATGCAAACTCCCTTGGGTAATTCTAGGCAATTTCTTTACCCAGAGATCATCTCTGGCCACAGAGCAGCTCAGCTGCAACCCACGCTGTGTGCGCTGCATAATACTGTAACATTTTCAGAGTCAGGGAAGATTTATTCAGTGATCAACTGCTTCAGCATCCTGAATCACTCCAGAGACAGTCTGTTAAAGAGGGGACCTTGAGGGAACTGAAAATGTAAGCAAGAAGTGAAATAATCCTCTCTTTCTCTTTTAACCCCTTAAGCCCCTATAAGGAAATAACATTAGCTTTTTATATGTGTAGGGAAAAATGACTAGAAGTAAATCACTCAAAATACTGAGAGTGCTTATCTGTAAAGGTGAAATTAGAAGTGATTTTTAGTTTCTTCTCTTTGATAATTTATATTTTCTACAATATACTTTAATTCAGTAGCAAGAAAAATATTTTAAGATGCATAGCTAGATATTATTCTTCAAAAAGTACTTTCAAGGAAAAAAAAAAATACTATAGCTGTCTCAAGAACTAGGTCAGAATTTGGCTATTCACCCAAAAAGATTGAGGGGTTAAATATATCCAGGAAGTAAAGGCCTACAGAGTTTTTAATATCTGAAATCAATACAAGCCAGGAATTGCCAATATTTTTCATTTCAATTTAACACTACCCACTAGGCAAAGCTGTTCAACTTATCCCAATTTGCTTAGAAATTCAGAACTACAGATGTCCCAGGAATGCGAAAAAAAAAAAAACTAGAGTGTCATGTACACAATTCACTAAGACCCTCCAAAGTGAATATCTAATCTTCCCTGTGAACTCCGCAGTAGAAACTGCAGCCTTGTTGCTAACTGAATAAAACCCAAAGAGAAGATGATAGAATTCTCTATACACGCTACTCTGTCCATTTTTGGAACACAGGTAGTTTCATGGAAGAAGGAAGGTGCCAGCCACAACTTGGATGATCACTGAACTCAATATCAAGGTGAGATAGATCTTCCAGAGGTACAGATACATCTTTCCTCTAATGCTCTACAGTCAGGCTGTGTCCGTGTGCACAACTACTTTGATAGAATTCGGCTTTTAAGAGAAAACAAATTTACTCAGTAAGCCAGCTGAGGCATTTGTTTACTTGATGGCAGAATTTTTAACCTTTTTGTCATTTAACCTCACATGTACACAGCCAAGAGCAAAATGCCTGAGAAAGTGTAGCTTAGAATAAACACCAGGGAAACAACCACTAATAGACCAGGTGGGCAGATGGCAAGCAGAGGATATTCTGGACAAAGGCCACCCAATTGCCCAATTGACTAAGGGGTGGGGTGGATTTCAGATGGTGATAAACCCTGTAAATGACAGATAGAGTCAGACAAACATGCATATGAAAAACCACTAGATATCAAATAACAGCCATGTCAAGAAACAATCATTCATGAATTGTGGATTGTGTTTAAACGTTTAATATGAACATTGATCATTTGTTACTTTAAGTTAAGAAAAAAGGTCTCATCATAAGAAAACATTGATTGAGCCTGGATCCCTTTTGTGAACTGCAATACGTATTAAATTTAAACCTACTTATGGAAATTCAAATTAATTATCATTTTCATGACATAATAAAAGCAGAAATAACTAAATAGCTTTCACTATATAGAAAAAAACACTCCATTTAGTTAATCTGCCAGTTCTTTTTTTACTAGGTGAACATTAGCTAGTGTTTGGTCTTTAATTGTGATGTGGATAATCAACTCATCCAGAAAGTTAAAAATATCAATGTCAAAGCTTAATTTTTTCTGTCAGTAGTTGCGTGAAAGAAAAATAAAAGAAAGATTTGAAATATTTTTTAAAAAAAGAACCAGGCAGACAGACAAGGGGAGAGATCACCATTTTCATAGAATTATTTTACTTTGACAGAATATACACTTTTCTCAGTGCAATTTGCTCTTTAACCATCATGTGACCCTCCCTTTCTGTGATGAGCATACTGTGCCGTATCTCCTGATCTCGACAGATGCATCAAGGACGACACTCAAAAATCAATGTGCCCTCTGAAATAGCATGAAATGAAGATTTTAAAGCTAGATACTTACATTTATGTGGTTTTAGATTTTTTAAATCCCTTTAAAGGAATGTTTCACCAATGTTATCAGATTGGACATTATTTTCTGTTTTTCTAATGATGTCCCATAATGAATTTGAATACCAATTCAAGATTTTTATTTTTAAAAAAATAAAGAGAAGAAAAAAACAGAAAAAAGAAAGGGAAGTATTACTTAAGAAAAATGCACACAGAAAACAGGCTCCCTACCATTCTACCATTCCAACTTCTATCAAGTAGTAACATTGAAATATCTGCCAGGATAATCTACACCTGTCTCTTGAATCACTGATGAGAATAAGCACTCTCTCTCTCTCCCCGCCCCCCCGCCTCTCTCACACCCATATTTATCATTTTCATGACATAATAAAAGCAGAAATAACTAAATAGCTTTAACATACACACACTACACATACACAAAAACAACTGAGAGATATCGCCATGAACAATCCCACAGGCTATGCATTTATTCATTTCTAAATGCTATATAATTTCATTCTAAGGACAATTAAATATGTATTTGCATTAATGAATATATGCTGTTACGTAATGTATACAAGCCAGAGAAACTCTGCAGAGGTTTGTAGCCAAATGATTTGATTCTATCAAATCAGATCAAACCTATCCCCTGAAAGACACTCATGATTTTCTAGATTTTCTTTACAAAATTCCTATTAATTAGGATGTTAATGAGGTATTTCCCTTGTTTGTTTCTTAATTCTTATCCAAAACTAGAATTGATTTTGCATACACTTATTTCTTATATTTACTAAGGTGTGATTCCAGCTTCTGTATAAGCATGTTAATAAATAATACATCCTTTTGTCAGCTTTAGCAAATCTCTATAGTATACAATATTTCCTCTTCTTTCCATTAGTCCGTTTGGCAACCATTTCATCCAGCAGCGACACACAGTCAAGTGAAACTATCCTAAGCATTGTCCTTATCCAAGACGCATTGCAGCATTTCACTGTGAGGGTGGCAGCACTGGGTGACCTGTGGCATAGCCCTCAGTGAAGTGAAAACCATTTCACTAGCTGTCTTTTCAACTATGACAGGCCTTAGTCAAAAAACCAGAGAGTGTGACCTGCCAATCACAGGAGTGAGGGGCCCGAGGGCCATATGTCACCCGATTCTACAGCCTCTTCTGACTTGCAGTATAAGTTAATTCCCAGTCAGCAGGCTTCTCTCACCCAAGCTTTGCAGAAACAAGAGCTTTTCCATCCACACTTGTAACTTGTTTGGTCATGGTGTTGGGTGCCTTCAATGTGAAAATTATTTCCCTTGTGGTATCTGTCATTGGTTGAGCTATGAGATTATTGGTCTGCTGGATCCACAATTCCCCAGAAAAGATCACTGATCCAAACTGAGAAAGTAGCAGAAACTGTGTGTGGCACTAGTAGAGTTTTGTCCATCACCACACTCCAGGAAAGGTGACCTTGGAGCAGGGGCTGCATTTCTCCTTGAAAGCAAATCAGTCTGTTAAGTTGCTAAGTCACAACTCAGAGTACCACAGCCTCTTGTCATCACCATTATAGCTGCCAGCTCCAAGCCTCAAATGAGAAAATGAGGTTAAAATACTTAAATGTAAAAAGTACTATACACATGTTATTATTGTCTTTACTACTAACAATAATAGTATTGGACTCTTCACTATTGCAAACTGGTACGTGGTATAGTTTTTACAAACTGACCTAAGGATGAAAGTGCTTGGGTTTAGAGAGAACTTTGGCCTTGACAGCCCGAGGAATTTCGAGACAGCTATTCCCCATGTGACCTAATATTGTCCCCTACACTCATGTTTCAGTCTTACTCTCTAAAACAGTGTGTTGCCCTCTCCCTCTCCCTCTCCCTCTCCCTCTCCCTCTCCCTCTCGGTCTCCCTCTCCCCACAGTCTCCCTCTCCCTCTCTTTCCACCGTCTCCCTCTGATGCTGAGCCGAAGCTGGACTGTACTGCTGCCATCTCGGCTCACTGCAACCTCCCTGCCTGATTCTCCTGCCTCAGCCTGCCGAGTGCCTGCGATTGCAGGTGCGCGCCATCACGCCTGACTGGTTTTCGTATTTTTCTGGTGGAGACGGGGTTTCGCTGTGTTGGCCGGGCTGGTCTCCAGCTCCTAACCGTGAGTGATCCGCCAGCCTCGGCCTCCGGAGGTGCCGGGATGGCAGATGGTGTCTGGTTCACTCAGTGCTCAATGGTGCCCAGGCTGGAGTGCAGTGGCATGATCTCAGCTCGCTACAACCTCCACCTCCCAGCCGCCTGCCTTGGCCTCCCAAAGTGCCGAGAGTGCAGCCTCTGCCCGGCCGCCACCCCATCTGGGAAGTGAGGAGCGTCTCTGCCTGGCTGCCTATCGTCTGGGACGTGAGGAGCCCCTCTGCCTGGCTGTCCAATCTGGAAAGTGAGGAGCGTCTCTGCCCGGCCGCCATCCCATCTAGGAAGTGAGGAGCGTCTCTGCCCGGCCGCCCATCGTCTGAGATGTGGGGAGCGCCTTTGCCCCACCACCCCGTCTGGGATGTGAGGAGCGCCTCTGCCCGGCCGCGACCCCGTCTGGGAGGTGAGGAGCATCTCTGCCCAGCCACCCTGTCTGAGAAGGGAGGAGACCCTCCGCCTGGCAATCACCCCGTCTGAGAAGTGAGGAGCCCCTCCGCCCGGCAGCTGCCCCGTCTGAGAAGTGAGGAGCCCCTCCGCCCGGCAGCCACCCCCTCTGGGAAGTGAGGAGCGTCTCCGCCCGGTAGCCACCCCGTCTGGGAGGGAGGTGGGGGTCAGCCCCCGCCAGGCCAGCCGCCCCGTCCGGGAGGTGAGGGGCGCCTCTGCCCGGCCGCCCCTACTGGGAAGTGAGGAGCCCCTCTGCCCGGCCACCACCCCGTCTGGGAGGTGTACCCAACAGCTCATTGAGAACGGGCCATGATGACAATGGCGGTTTTGTGGAATAGAAAGGGGGGAAAGGTGGGGAAAAGATTGAGAAATCGGATGGTTGCTGTGTCTGTGTGGAAAGAAGTAGACATGGGAGACTTTTCATTTTGTTCTGTACTAAGAAAAATTCTTCTGCCTTGGGATCCTGTTGATCTGTGACCTTACCCCCAACCCTGTGCTCTCTGAAACATGTGCTGTGTCCACTCAGGGTTAAATGGATTAAGGGCGGTGCAAGATGTGCTTTGTTAAACAGATGCTTGAAGGCAGCATGCTCGTTAAGAGTCATCACCACTCCCTAATCTCAAGTACCCAGGGACACAAACACTGCGGAAGGCCGCAGGGTCCTCTGCCTAGGAAAACCAGAGACCTTTGTTCACTTGTTTATCTGCTGACCTTCCCTCCACTATTGCCCTATGACCCTGCCAAATCCCCCTCTGTGAGAAACACCCAAGAATGATCAATAAAAAAAAAAAAAAAGGTTAAAATGGAAAAAAAAAAAAAACAGTGTGTCAGAACTCCCTTGAAGGCTTGTCAAAACACATTGCTGGGCTCCACCAAAGGAGTTTCTGATTCAGTAGATCCAGGGTCAGGCCTGAGAATTGCATTTCTGATAAGGTTCTGAATGATCCTGGCATTGCTCATCTGAGCCCACTCTAAGAATCATGGCTATAAAGAAAGGGAGCTTCATTTAGAATATTAAAAGTGGTTTAGGAGAAGTAAAAATAAATTCATTACATGGAGAAAATGTGGGTGATGAGTAGAGGGGACACTGAATGGTTGTATTAAAACATTCCCAGGTTGTCATATATACAGCTCATCAAGTTTTACCTCATTTAGAGGTGAGTTAACTGAGGCTCCAATGATTGGGTCATTTTCCCAGTGTCATGGGCTGGCCCATCAATAATAGAACTAAAACTAAAGTTCAGTTCTTGTCTATTCCAACTGGATGCTTTCCAGTACAAAGCATTGCCAACAGTTAGAACACAGAGACTTCCTATCTGAGGGAAAGGATTTTCACTATTTTTGACAGGAAAAGAGATCTCATATATGATCTCTTTAAGGAAAAATAGTGCTCAGATAACCCACTCTAGTCACTTGCACTGAAACAAGACAGAAGAGGAAGCATCATGAGACAAAATACAATTCAATGACGCACACATAGGTTTTCGAGGAACGGCAAATTTACTAACCAGGTTTGGTGACTTCATCGTTGACCTGGCATTGATTTTTAAACTCTCTACTGGGTGTCTTGACTTCACTATCCAGGAGGTTCTGGAGTAGCACAATTTCCTGTTTGATTTTTAACAGCATCTGCTTTCAGCGTGCTTTCCAGTTTTACTGGTGCCTGGCAAAAGCTGAGCCTGCACTTGCCCTGGAAGCATGGGCCAGTTCCCAGGATGGAATGGAAAATCTCCACTCTCTTTTCAGAAACATCTCCACATTAGAACTGTCTGGTAAACTGACCAGCTGCCACCCACTGCTGTTTAATCCTCTCTATTCTGGCCTGAGAGCATAGAGTCTTCCCTCCTTAGTTTGTTGTGAAGATTCTGAAGTCCTCTTCAAAACTGAGAGCTCATTTTGAATGGATAGCCAATATGCTCAGACCTCGTTGTGGTGGAAATAAATGTACATGAATTTGTTTTGAATTTGAAAAAAATTAGAAGACGTGGGGCTAGTTCTAGTATTGTTAATTCAGTTGGTCTATTATAGTCCAGTGCCTTCGACATAATAGGCCCTTGATAAGTGTATTCTGAATTGACTGAATTGTAATGACATACTCTGTTTAGGTATTACTTTTTTGTAAGAGCTAACATAACCCAGGGCTTCCTCATCTGAAAGAAGGAAATGGCAATAACCCACAGATATTATATGGAGATGTGGTGAATTTATTCAGTATTCTGAATGAAATGTTTCAGGTGAAGTAAAATATTGTCTATTAGTAGTGAGACCACTCTAGAAAAATCCAGAAAAAAGTATGTCTACACATCTCCAATC
Source organism: Homo sapiens (assembly GCF_000001405.40). Taxonomy (NCBI): domain Eukaryota; kingdom Metazoa; phylum Chordata; class Mammalia; order Primates; family Hominidae; genus Homo; species Homo sapiens. Next base: position 99,144,397 of record NC_000006.12, read on the forward strand.
AGTCACCATTCCCAGTAACAGTAATATTAGCAATAATGTCGTCAAACTATTGCTTGGTTTGCATAGATTTGCTATAGAGTTGTTTATCTTTGCCTCACTGGGCATTCCCCGCAGAAGTATTGAACCCTAACTTTTATTTTAATTCGCTATTGGTCCTAGGAAAGGTAGGAAAATAAGCATGGGAGCAGTGAGATGCTGTGAAATGTTGAAGGACCCTGCCTCTGGGGAGGGAGTGCCCTCATTTGTAATGTTTGTCAATTTCTGTGGTGTAAATACTCCACCATGGTCAATTTAAAGCTGCCAACAATTTAACAACTGACTTGCAAAATTCCTGACAAAAATTGGCTCTCATGAGCTGCTACAGGCTGGCACGAGCACAACACTGGATAGGGAAGAAATCACATGTGGCAATATTATTCCATACTAACTGACAGGATTTTGCCCACCCTTCAGGAAAAAAAACAAATGTTGGCATGGTGGGGAGATGGGGAATGACTGTTTTAGAAGTCAGGTAACACAAATTATAACTATCTGCCAACAACCAGATAGGTAAATAGGTCAGTAACATGGTGAACCAACTAAGCCGATACCAACTCAGTAACTGGAGTTATAATAAGACTCGAAGGTTATTTCGCAAAGACTTAAGAGACATCTCAGTTAGTTGTTGTACTATTGGCATGTATTGGTGTAAAGATAGAGCTTCAGACTTTGAAGATTCTACAACCAATAACTGAAGTGATTTTTTAAAAATTCCACTTAAAAATGTAGCATTTCAGAGCTACAAGGGAATGTAGGGGGTTTGTTTACTTTATAAATAAGGCAAACTGAAGCCTAGAAAAGAGACATGATTTTCCCAGTCATCTAGTAGAGGAATCCAGACTCTATTTTGGGCTTTCCAATCCTAGGTCAGGGTCAGGGCTCTTTTTGTAACAGAATTATTATTTTTTTTTTTCATCTCAGTAACATAGCTCAGGGAATCATACCATGCTTGTTACTTAAAAGTGCTATAGTATGGTCTCAATCTCTTAACCTCATGATCTGCCCGCCTCGGCCTCCCAAAGTGCTGGGATTACAGGCGTGAGCAACCACATCCAGCTTTGAGTTTGAAACTATACTCTTTCCTAGGTACTGATGGAAATAGAAACCTGCTTGAATTACAACACACATGTCATTAGCGCTTTCACACTGGGGCTGAGCACGCTACTGGGGCAGAATTTTCAGTGAGAACCAAAGTCAGGGCTGGGAGGGGGTACAGAAAGAGTACCACATGCCAGCTTGTTGCTTTTAATAATTTCAGTAATAGAGGACTAGAACTGCTTCCGAACTTCTCTACACCCACCCCACCATAGCTCCTGTTAATGGCCTGAATGGCAGTATATACAAGTGCCATCCCTCCCCTGAGTCAATAGAACATGTCTAGGATGGCCTTGCTATTTAAGGTCCACATGGGTTCCTGATCAGTACAGACAAGTGTATTCCTTGGTGTGAAGTGTTAATTTTACAAGATGAGCTGTGACAAACGCTTTCTTGCTCCAACTAGAAACTGAAACTATTAAAGATTCAGTTCTGGGCTTACTGCAAATAACACTGCTCTCTACTCATTATGTGATCCATTCCTGAACGTGGTATAAAGTTTTCCAGAGACTACTTCTGACTAATAATCTCTGAGTGTGAGAGAGACAGAGACACTGGGGGTGAAGGGAGAGGGTACAGATGGGGTATGGAGAGTTGGCTATATGCGCCTATGAGCCTGTGTGTGTATAGATATAGTTAACAGAAAAGTGACCGATAAATGATTTTAAAAGAATTTTACATTGCTCTAAACATTCAAAACATCTACTCAAATCTAGAGTTCCTTGGGTATTACTGATTTGTGAATTAAAGCTATAATTATTGAAGGTTGATTTGATAATATTTTGGTCTCCCTAATTCAACATCAGACAATCAAATCTCAAATTTATACTTCCGAAACAATGAAAATAAACACTATACCCAGCATAATTGTCAAGATTATGCTCTAACAGCATCCGTGAAACCACGAAATGAGGCAGTACACAAGAACACATGAGTGAGGGGAATTTTGGGGACAGAAGACACAACCTCCCAATAAAAGGAAAGATTGCAAACTAAAAAGTAAGCTTTCCAAACTATTTGCAATGCATGAGTTTCCTGGGATAAGAAAAACCTAGCTTTGAGTCTTTGTGATTATTAATTTTTTTAAAGAAAAAAAAGAACTTTATTTAAATCAGGCCTTTAGCAGGTTGGCTGAGCTCATGGAAGCCTCGCTCGGCCTGCAGATGTCTGTCTGAGCTGCCACATGGCAGGAACTGGCCCTGGGGGTCTCAGGGGCCCAGCACAGGACCCAAAACTTCTTATTTTGGTGTTGGTTCCAAAACTCCCCATCCCTTTCCAGTTCATTACAAACACCTATTGTTTGCCATATTTATCTGCCATCACTGCTGTTTGTTAGCAAATGGAAAGAGAACTGCCAGGACTAAATTTCAGCCTGCCCTCAGAATAGTGCAAAGGCGCTACAGGAATTGCACGACAGATGGTCTTTGAATGATATACAGAACCTCTGCCCTTGGGCCCGCTTTGGAGGAACTGTTTTGGATTGTTGCTCGTAAGAGTGGGAGGTTGTTGTGTGATATGTGATTATTCCATAATAATTTTAATTATTTTGCCTGTTTTCAAACAATAGTCTCAGCCTTTTTTAATTTTTACACTCACTGAGTTGTGACACGAGCATTCTTTCCTCTGTGTTAGCAGGGATTAAAATCAAGCCCTGTATCCCTTCCCATTTTTCAAATAATCCATGTTTAAATAAATTACCTCAGTCTGGAAAACCAAGTTATGTGGCGTCCTCCTGGCATACACACTAGCAAGGAAAAAAATTCCTTATTGTGGTGTCTGGTTTGAGATTGTCGCAGTAACAAGTTTCAAGAAAAGCCTGCTCTTTGCCTCTTTGGAGTGAGGCTCTGGCTAAGGGAGCTTCATTTACATGCATGTGGGGATCCCATCGGATCTGTTCAAAGGTACAGTCCGAGGCAGTCAGATGGCATCCAATGTGCATGTAAATGAAGCTCCCAAAGTGGGGTGTAGGCTTCTGGAGAGATGCAGAAAATATGCCATCCCTGTCTCATCCAAATCCAATAGAAACTTCTGAATGTTTTCTAAAGTAGCAAGAGCCAACGAGAAGCAGATGCTAAACTTTCAACGCATCTGAATACATTTCTCTTTACCAGATAGATTTATTGGCTGAGCACAGGCAGAAGAGGTTTGGGGTCAGAACCTGAGCTTTTGGTGTCTCGGCCTGGGAAGCTTGCAGACGCCAACTTGCATATCCCAGTGGTTCCAGACCCAGAGAGTCTCTGGAGGCCAGCAGCAGCCTGCAGCTCTCACCATGCTGGCAATTCCCAGGCCACCAGAGGCTACATAAAAATATAAAATCTACACTGAATCTAAACCACAGGAGGATCTAGGGGTGAGTTAATACTTACAAGTTAGCTTTTTTACAGAACACAAGAATGTGTGGCTTTACTTGGAGTTTGTTGCTCCTGAAATTCTCCCCAATATCTGAATTCTGTGTCCCCAGATAGGCTTGTGGTTCCAGTCCTACAGCTGCAAGCCAAATCAAGCTTTGGACAATTTCCAAGCTGAATGGTCTAGCACTTTGATAATAAGAAAGAAATTCTGCTTCTCCTTGGTCTCCAGCTAAGTGATATAGCTACCTGGAAAACAGAACTCTGGTGAGCGGGTTTGCTAGAAAAAAAGAAAAAACAAAACTCTGACCCTGTTATTTGATAGAGAAATCCCCCATGGAGTCTTAAGTGCTTCCCAACAACTGTGGTTTTAATCCAATAACAGCAGCTCCTCTAACAGAGAGAAACCCAACTCACACAGCAGTTAATACCCAAATGAAATTCAGATATCTCCCACTGTGTTGACAAAAAGGATTGGGGAAATGTCCTCTGCTCCTTCCCAAGGAAGACGTGCCTTTGGTGAGATCCAACCAGCCTACTCTCCTAGAAAATAGCCACACTGCTTCCTCACAGCAAGGGCTGGTGTGCAGAGATTTCTGCTTATAGAGAGCACAAATTCTCAGAGAAAACATATAAATTCATGTTTAGTGCCTCGAGGAGCCAAAACTACTTATCTTTCAAGGCATGGAGGATTCACCTAAGGAGGACTTACCCAGCTTGCTGGAGTATAGTGGCTTTTCTAAGAATGCTGTTGCTGAAAATTTTCATTCAGGTGTATGATTGAAACAACAGCTCTGACTATATCAGCTATCATAAACACTGGAGAACTGTGTTCTCAATAGATCTGAAATAGACACACTTTAAGTGTATTTGTTTATTATAATCAGGTTTCCATATAGGTTATTAAGTTCCCATACAGGCCAGGCCCTATATAAGGTATTTTATATACATTATCTCTATCTTTACAACAACCAGGATGGTATTCATTGCCCTCATTATATAATTTCTAATGAGGGCAAAGGAGTCTCGTGTTGTTTAAATGACTTAACAAAGGTCATACACAATAAATAGCTGAGTCAGGATGTGAAATAATGTTTGATTAATTTCAAGGGCCATATTCTTTTCACTGATGTATGTATGTATGGGGCTAGTGGTGGAGCAGGGGGAAATTCATGTATGGCACATTGCCTTATGAAAATAAATGCAAATTTCAGCATATTTTGACTCGAGGGAGGATACTATGTATATCCTCAGTGCCTGACATGTGAATTCTTAACAAATACTTATTAACCGGAGTATTCCTTCATAGGTATATAATTGACAAGTAATTGTTAGTCTTAATCACGTAGGCTTTATCTGCTACTTCCTCTTGGTCATTTCACATGATGTTTACCCTGGTGGACCTAAATCCTGGAGTCTCCCTGGTTGGGCAAAAAGGACTCAGCCAACTTAAGTCCACATGGACCAATTCCAGGTGAGAGATACTATCAGTACCTACTCCTGAAATAAATTCAACAATTATCGAATAAATACCAGCTGAGTAACCACCAACTGTACCCAAACTCATTTCTTTGGACAAAGAAATATGGTTAAAAAAATACAGTTATATGTCACTGATTAAGATAAATTCTAAGAAATGCATCATTAGGCAATTTCATCATTGTGCAAACATCATAGAATGTAGTTGCACAAACCTAGACGGTTTAGCTGCACATCTAAGCTATATGGTGTAGCCTATTGCTCCTAGGCTACAAACCTCAACAGCATGTTACCGTACTGAATACTGTGGACAATTATAACACAATGGGAAGTGTCTGTGTATCTGTGTATGTTTTCTAAACATAGAAAAGGCACAGTAAAAATAAAGTATTAGGTTGGGCATAGTGGCTCATGTCTGTAATCCTAGTACTTTGGCGGCCAAGGAAGCGGATGGCTTGAGCCCAGAAGTTCAAGACCAGCCTGGGCAACATGGTGAAACCCCATCTCTACGAAAAATATAAAAATTAGCCAAGCATAGTGGCATGTGCCTGCAGTCCCGGCAACTTGGGAGGCTGAGGTGGAAGAATTGGATGAGCCCAGGAGGTTAAGCAAGCAGTGAGCCATGACTGCAACACTGCACTCCAGCCTGGGTGTCAAAACAAGACCCTGTCTCAATAAATAAATAAATAAACAAACAAACAAATACAGTATTATAATCTTATGGGACCACTATCGTATATTCAGTCCCTTGTTGACTGAAATGTCATTATGTGGTACATGGCTATAAATAAAATAAAAATAACTTAAGCACAGAGAGTTCTAATAACCTGACAAAAATATATTTTTAACCATACAAGAAGATAAGGAACCCATGATTTTACATTCAAATACCCAACTGCATCTTGTGTTTTGTAAATAAATTCTCCTTTGCCTTTGTATGTAATTCACATGACTTAGAAAATAACGTTGTTTTAATATAAATATACAAAATAAATATGATGATGTGCTTCAAGACAACCACTGGAAGATTCCATTCAAAATGGAAAATCAATAGTCTATATCAATAGCAATATGAGTATCATTGAAACGTGCATTTTTAAAAGAACAACTACATTCAAACATCAGCCATTTTGTCACATTTCTTGAGAGCTCTTCTTTTTTTTTTTTTTTAACAGCAGCAGTCAAAAGAGTGACACTCTGTTGGGACCCCAGGACCGCCATGGATGGCAATCTTAACAGTTAAAAGATTGTACAAAGTGGTTTTATTCTGACACACATGTGAATTAGGCTCAAGTATAAAGGAAAAATAAATGGGAATTAGAGAGCAACTCACAGAGGCATTTCAGTTGGGAAGAAAATACCACCATTAAGTCCCAAATGCAATTTATGAATACAGTATTTGAATTTTCTAATTGTTTCTACAAAAAAAAGAGGCTAATGGAATTACATTGGAACCAGTCATTTAATCATATACAAATTTGCTGACCAATGTCTCTGTACATCCAGTACTGAGCTCCTGCTCGTATCTGTAACCTTGCCAAATTTTCAGTCCAATAAGAGAAAGCTTTTCCTTTCTTTTTTTTTTTTTTTTTTTTGGTTTTTTGTTTTTGTTTTGTCTTTTTTTTCAACCCCTGGGTAGGAATGGAAGAGGCTGGTGATTCCAAGGACTCCATGTTTCATGGTCAAATAGGATCAATATGACACAGCTGCCAAGGACATGAAGCAGGAAGGGGGCCCTGGAGATCATCTGTGCCAGTAGTTTCGAAATCAAGTAGTTGTCTAATCAAAAACCACTTTGAATCTACTCCCCACATTGCCCACCCTTCTCACCTCCAGTGGTCTAACATGCACTCTGCAAGGAGTAGGAGAAAAGGAAGTCTCCCTTGCATAAGCTGCCACACAGACAAAGTTGGGTATCTCTGAATCAAATGTAATTTACTTTATACCAAGAACCCATGAATATATACTTTTGTATGACCATTTTTAAATTTTGTAACAGACAATCTTGTAAACCTCCCAAAGGCTTTTACCTAACACTAAATATGTAGGCCCAATCTGTTCTCAAAATTTCACATGTATGCTGCTCCTGAGCTCAGTTCCATGTGGTGAAAAAAAGTCATTCATTCTGGTATTCATTAAATTTCAGGTATGCCAAGGAGTGAGAATTCATCTTCAAAAAGTGTACTGTCTGGTTAAGACAGAAGCATGATAATGATTACAGTTCAAATTGAGAATTGGTATGTAACAAAATTTCCCCTAGTATAACCAGTCTGTGTACTTCACCACAGACTCTGTGTACTTCGCCACAGAGGCTCCCCACACGAAGACCTCAGTTATTTCATGGGGGCCCCAGATAACTTCCATCTCATCAGACACAGCTTCCACCACTACTGCTCTTCTGGAGTCTAGAGTCTCTCCCGTGGCTCTGCCAGAGCCGCTTCCACAACACAGCAGGCCACACTGCTCCTCCACACCTCTGTTACCCTCCCTCCTCGTTCAAAATCTTCTTGATGCCAAGGCCAGCCTACGGTCTGTGGCAGAGTAGGAGGATGCAACCCTCTCCTGTCTGTGTGTTACTATGTTTCAGGTCCTAAAGAAGTTTTACAGAATTTAGTGAAGAGCCACTTGTGGTCTTATTTTATACATCCATAGGCTTCAGACCCATAGGTCTGAAGGTGAGGCCAGTGTGAGTTTGGCTAGAAAATAAATCCAAGCCACCCTCTGCTGGCTGTGTGGACCTCACCAAGTCTGCCTGAATCCTGAGAGAGGACAGAGCTTGACTTCTTTTCCCAGGAGGCTTCTTAGCCTCACGCTAATACATTTCTGTGGGGTCTCCCTCCCTCAAGATCGCAGATACACCTTGACGTATGTGACTTCCTCTTTGGCCGCTGGAGGGCAGCACCAGTGGAAATGTGTAGGGAGTGCAGCTGGGACCCAGAAAAGGCAGCCAAGTCTGTAAATCATCACCACGGAGATGAGACTTAAAAGATAAAGTTGCACTTTATAAGTCAATCAGTATGTGAGGTGCGGGGTGAGATGGCAAGAAAAGAGAGGAACCGTCAGTTCAAAGGCTTGGAAGAAAAAAGTACTGTGTGTTCAGGGAAATAGATGTCCACCAGCTGAAGCACAATATTTGATGTTAGGAGAGAAGTAAGAGATGAGACCAGAAAGCAGTAAGGATTTAATCATACAAAGTCTTTATGGCACATAAAATAATTCGGTGTATCCTGTTTTTTTATGGCAAATCTTTGTGGAACTGAGCTGGACAATTACTTGATCACATTTATGCATCAGAAAGATCACTGCGCTAATAGCGCAGATGATGGATTTGAGGCCAGACAGACTAGGATAGGAAGAGACAGGAAGGTCCATAGGAAAGGGGCTGTAGTATTCAGGCAGGAGATATGAGATATTATGGCAGGCAGAACTCTGAGATGGCCCCAAGATTTCTGTCCCCTGGTGCCCATGTCCTGTGTAACCCCCTCTTATAGAGTGTGAGTGGAACCTGTGAATAGGATGGATTTCATGTTTGTGGTATGGCAAAGGTGAAGGGATTTTGCAGATGTAATTGAAGTCCCTAATCAGCTGATTTTGAGTTAACCAAAGGGGAAATTATCCAGGATGAACCTAACCAAATTGGGTAAGGCCATAACAGAGTATCTAGAGGTCAGAGACTGGAAGCAGCAGGGAGATTCTCCTGCTGGCCTTGAAGAAACAAGGTACCATGCTAAGAGAGGGCCTGTGAGGGACCACGTGGTGAGGACCCTTGGGGGGTCTCTAAAAGCAAGGAGCCAGCAAGCCAAGCCTGGACTCCTGACCCAAATAAACTATGACATTATAAATGTGTGTTGTCTTAAGACTCTAAATTTGTGGTCATTTGCTATGCAGCAATAGAAAACAAATACAATATAGGTAGCAAGACACAATTGAGTATATTCAGGGGAGAAAACTGACAGGAAGTAGAGTTTGAGTTGATGTGGGGAAAATGGATGACTTGTAAACAGTTTCATTTGGACTTGTTGAGCTTGCTATATCTGTAGGACATTCAGGTGGCCATGTATGTCTAGAATACAATTGGATGTAAGGGTCTAATGCCAAAGGGAAGCCAAGGTTCAAGCCAGGATAAGCAGGCCAAACTCCAGTGTCCAAATCTAAGAGGTCAAACAGAAGTGAGAGCTAAGGTCTAGAGCCAAAGCAGGCAGAGTAGCCACAATGGCCAATGAGCATGGAGAATGGAAGCAGGCAGGTGGGTGGAGGAGGGCCTGGGGAAGCGCCTGAAGGTCTCTCGGGAATCCAGGTACTTGTGTGACTGCTCCAGAGGGTTTGATTCTGTGTTGTTGTTCTTGTCGTTGTTGTTCATAAGAAGCAAATAAAATTAGGGAGGCTAGACTGTGATCACCAGAGAAAATATAAGAAGGGAAAGAAGAAGGTGAAGGATGAAGCTTGAGGGCACCTCCATTTTCAGATGACAGGAAAGGAAAGAGGAATTTGCCTTGAGACGGAGAAGCAGCAGCCCAAGAGATAGGAGGAGGACAAGGAGAGGCAAGTGTCACTGTAAAACCCAGGAAGGAGAAGTTTCCAGGGGACATGCTCACCAGCCTTGAATGCCATCACATGAGAGGAGGGCTGGAAATGCCCATAAGATTGCAAAGCGGGAGGCATTTAATGTTAGCAAAGTTTAAAGTTGAGTCCCAGTGGCCACATTGTAGCAAATGCTTTACTTTCCTCATCTGTAAAATGAAAGTAAGAAATGAGGGCAAAACACCTGCCTTATTTTCCTCACAGTTGTAGAAATTCTCCCCTTCCTTCTTCCCCTTTGTAAAGGCTCAAATGTACCTTCATGGGTCTAGGGAGAGTGGATCTCGACCTCAGTTAGGTCACCAGACCTGCCCTGAGCTGCTTCATCAGGTTCCCCAGGACTTCAAGCTAATTCCTTTCCAGAGAAGCATGCAGACCAAATTGCTGACCAACCATCTTTTAATTCCCAAGAAGTACAAGAAATGAGAATACAGAAGGCGGGAATCTCACTTACCTTTAAAGGAACATTGGCACTTTATTCAGCACTAACTTTACTGGAAAACAGCTGAGAACCAAGAAACAAAAGAGACCTGTGAGCAGCCAACATCTACACCACAGAGCCCACCCTCATTAATGAACCTTATGAAAAAGGATCTCCTAGGCTCTTTACTCTGAGCCTAGCTTTCCTCTTTGGAAATTCTAACAGGCTTAGTGATGTGGTTTCCAAATGAATAGACCAATAAAAGGAGCAAATTAAAAGAAGAGGACTAGAAGAGGCACATCAGTAACAGTAATGAGTGACAGCTGATGGGTTAACAGCAAGGGTAGAAATGGGGGAAAAAATAACTATAGAAGGCGAACAAAAGAAGTAAAAATCACAGGAGCTTAGGATCATTTAGCACAGAATAAAAATATTCTACATAGTGCAACAGACCCCTGAGGGCACTAGAGCTCAGCATGATGGCCTAAGTCATCATTTCGAAAAAGTTAAACTACATTTGATATAGTCTAAAAAGGCAGAGACATTCATAGAGGAGACTTATGGCTGGTCCATTTATTCCTTAAAAAGTATTTCTTAAGGAGCAGCCATGTGCCAGGCAGGAAGACATAAAGGAGCAAGAAGATGGCCTCTGTCTGGAGTAACCCTCAGTTATTCAGAGAGATTGACTTCCTGCAAGGTTCCCTTTGGACAGCCCTTAGAGAGGACGTTCATTAAAATATCAAGGTTCTTGGAAAATCTAAATGATCCACACTTCCCTCATTGGCAAAATCAGATCAATTCTATCTCGAGTGGATTGATCACTTCTGTTGAAAAACAACAAGAAGATAATTTGAGTATGATTCTCCCAGTATAATGGCTATCTACTCTTTGGTTGGACATAAAAAACACCTTCAGGAACAGCAATGATTTTTTATAATAGCCAGACAAGAGTACTTTTATGTACTTAAAGTGCATGATATTTGTTTCAAGTCATTAATATAAACCCCAAAAGTGTTAAAAGTTAAAACCAAGAGGTAGCTTAGATCTAGGGGGAAAACCTGGCTCTTTCTGATCAACATACCATCTTTTTGGAATCCTACAAAATAAATTCTAAGCCAATGGTTCCAAACTGCAGGTGAGACCAACTACATCAGAATCCCAGAGCCTGAGCCCTGCCACACATCTACGGGGCTAGAATCTCTTGGGATGGGTCTCTGGCATCCATCTCTCCAGGTGATGCTGACAAGCAGCCAAAATCCCTTACAGCTCTAAAATTCCACTGTCTTCAATGTATCTAGTGTCAAATCAGTAAAAGACAATTTCCCCATAAATACTATAATCCAAATACAATGAAAACAAAACCCAAAGGCCGGGCACGGTGGCTCACACCTGTAATCCCAGCACTTTGGGAGGCTAAGGTGGGTGGATCACTTGAGGTCAGGAGTTCAAGACCAGCCTGGCCAACATGGTGAAGCCCCGACTCTACTAAAAATACAAAAAAATTAGCTGGGCCTGGGGGTGAGTGCCTATAATCTCAGCTACTCGGGAGGCAGAGGCAGGAGAATCAGTTGAATCCAGGAGGCAGAGGTTGCAGTGAGCCAAGATTGCACCATTGCACTCCAGCCTGGGCAACAAGAGCAAAACTCTGTCTCCAAAAAACAAAAAAGAAAACTCCAAATTTTCCATATTAAAATTTAATCTTGTAACTAAAGATGAAGAGCTAATATTAACAAGAAAAACTGAATTTATGGTGTTTTCCATAATTTTGAGGTCTACAGATTAGAAAAGTGAGGGACTAAGCTAAAAATATTTCAAACAAAGTTATATTTTAGCTGTATCATCTTTATGTCATCATTCATGAACCCTCAAAGTATTAATAATAAAGTTACAGGGAACCTGAAACTTTTTTTGTAAAAATACAATATCAAATAAAGCTTGTCAGACTTTAGAAATAATGCCAAGCCTCTCCCTCTTCTCTCTCTCTCTCTCATTTAGGAGCTATTAAAGTTTCCTGCTTTTGCAAACCCAGATATGATGTGAGGATGAAAGAAGAAAGATTCAGCAGCCAGAAATTGTCTCATTAAATAGGATATAGGGATCCTGTGGAATGTATTGGGTTAGAGAGAGTGACATTATATGTAATTAAGATGTCTAGTGTTTATTTCAGCCCCCAGGGGATAGATGCAAAATATCTAGCTATTAATAACAATAGTTAAATAACCAACTTCTTGGATTTCAGAGTTTTATTTTTTGTTTTGGTATTTTTGTTGTTGTTGTTGTTGTTGTTCGTACTGAGTGTCTGTTGCCTGGAAAACTCTGAGATGTGAAGGGAAGATTACCTAATTTAGGATCAAGTGTTAATTTCCAAGCTAGATGGCAAGATGATACTACACTTGCTTTCTGCCTTTTCAAGGACGAAATCTCCTTAGTGCTCCTTTCTCACCAAGAACAAAATGAGGGACCTAGAGATTGTGGTGACTGGATACCAGTGACATTCCAGTCTTTGGCAGCTGGAGAATCTAGCATATCCTTTTCTTGCCTGGTATAAACTCTATGTAAGATTTCCCTGGGCATTTGGTGTAAAGAACAAATTGGTGAGCCAACAAGCACCCTCTATACACAGAGCACTGTGTCAGGAGCTACGGGAGACAGATATTCTAGCACAGTAAGAGCATGGCTTCTGTCTTCAAGGAAATTAAAATCTAGCTGGGGGAGAAAAAAACCCACAAACATCAATTAGGGAGTTGTATGCCATAATTCATGATTAAGTAATAAATTAATGTCATAGTTGTTCAGAGAAGGAAAATTAAAATGAGAATAATGGGGAAAAACTTCATGGAATTCATGCACTTGGGTTTTGAAGGATAGTAGTAGAACTAGTCTCAAGTGCACACACAAGGGGAAGGACTGGCATTCGTGCATGGAGTTACATGTGTGTAAAATGACCTTTATGGCTTTCTTTTCACATATTTTTATTTTTCCTTCTTAATTAAAAAAGAAGCTTCTATGCCCATGGCCATGACTTAGAAATATATATAAAATAAGGTCGCTGATTTAACAAATTTGGCATGCTTATTCTCTAGACAATTTTCAATTCTTCCTAGGTTTCAGGAAGCAGCAAATTGGAAATACTAAGTGGGAGAAAAGTGGGAAGTCTGCTGTAATTAAACAGGCTGGTAACAGAGAGCAGTAACTACTAATAATGATAGATGAAACAGAACAACAGAGGCTCAGCAATCTGGGCCCATTTAATGTTGGGTAAATACAACCCTTCTCTTCCCACCCACCTTCAACAGCCCCCAGATGCCATAGCTTCCTAGAATGTACTTTCTCTACTGATTCCAATCTCCTTTCCTTTTTTTTAAATAAAGAAAAATAAAGAGGGGAAAAGAAGAGCCATAAAGGTTAGTATGTTTATTCATTAATTTGTTTGTTCAAGAATTTTTTGTGAGCACCTACTATACTGCTTAGGTGCTAGGGACACAACTGTGAACAACAGACAAAGTTCCTACAATTTTGGGTGTTTTATTCCAATGCAAAGGAAATTCTCCATCTTATAAGTTTTTAAAAGAATGAGGTAAACAAGGCTTTGGGAGATGCCTTGGCTCAAATTCCCTATGAGTTAGTGAAAGTCAACCTGGATCGCTTTAAGAAGAAAAAAAAAAACAAAAAACCATATCTCACAGGGAAAATTTACCATTCTAATATTGAGTCTGCACAGTAGCCTTTCTCTGCTGGTTTACTTTCAAGAATGTTCTTCCTTGTCTTTCCAGTTAGCAATCTAGTTATCTTCTGCATTATGGAGCTGGTCTTCCTTGGCTCTTTCTTCATCTCTCTTACCTTGACTAGAGAGAGGTTCTCTTTTCCTGCATTCCCCCATTTTGTGTGTTTTCCCCAAACTCCAAAAGGTCACAGACCTAGGCAATTGTGAAATCCAAAAGGTCTGATGGGCTAAGAACTAAGGTTCTCAATTACCTCTTTGGGCCGGCCCCCATCCTAAACAGGAACCATGGAGGACTCCTAGCCTGAGTGCACTTCAGGGGCTAAAATCCTGTGTTCTAGTTTGTGAGCTTGTTCTTTTAAAAGGGAAACCTAGGACTCTTTTCTTTTCTTTAATGAATTATTCTAGTTTTACTTTGAGACCATAGCTCCTGTTTTATTTTCAGTTGTCATTTTCCATAACTCGTTTTAGAAATAAAAATGGGAAACGTTATCTAGCCCCTAGGAAGAAATATGTACATACATTCAAAAAGCAGTTTCATGCAACCTTAATAACCTGAATTCTATTTCCCTTTCTGTACATGATGGATGAAATTACTTTGATTATGCTGGCTTTCCAATTACTCATTCATGCCAAGAAAGCTAGCCCTTGAAACCTAGTCACCTTGTTTATTTCTTTCCCACCTTGCCCTTCACAATCAGAAAATCAAAGAGCGCTGGAGCTGGAAGGAGCTTCCGTGATCCCCAAAGGAAGGATTAAACTTAAAAGTCATACATATTGATTGACCCGAGTTTTCTAAAATTAAACCTGAGTAACTATTTCAATACCAATTTTTAAGCTGTAAAAGCTGATTTTGAGGTACAGAGGTTTGAGTGGTATGAAAGGCCTAGTAAATATATAACCTGGTTGCCAAAGGGTTTCTACTTAATATATTAGGAAAAGATGTATTCCCATTGCGTTCATTTTATTCCTTAATCCAAATCAGTGGTTTTCAAACTGTGCTCCTTGGAGTGTGAGGGTCTAACCTCCACAGAGGGTGAAGAGGGACCAATTTTGGAAGCTCCACACCCTCTGCCCCTGCTTTGACCCAGAGACCTCTACTTTTTCTCTCCCTTATAGGTTGGGTTCTCAAGTATAATTTCATATAAATAAAGCTGCCTGTTACTACCAAAAAGGAAAAAAATGTTTGCTAAGAAAAGGAAATGAACTTACAGAAACAGAATATACACAAATAAAATATGAAAAGTCAACCATAATCATAATTTTTTCAGAAACACATGGACTGGAACTAACAACAACTGATTCTGGAATCAGCATTGGGCTGGCCTTCTGGTATAAAGTTCTTATGACTGGTTCTTCACCACCAAACACAAGGGCACACCACTAACTGCCCCAAGAGCCAACCGAAAAGCCATAAACACGTCTGGCTACTTAGATGCAGCTCTGCTAATCTGCTTATAGCTTATAGCTTATAGCCACTAGTTCACTTATTCATTCGACAAACAATTAAGGCCTCAAAAATGAACAGGTGATGCCTGGAAGTAACAAATTTTTAGTAGTAGTAGGGAGACAGACAAGCAAACAATTAAATTACAGTATTTAAAAAAGGATGACCTTCATCTTAATGGGGTATATACAAAGTACAATGGGAGCCCAGAAGAGCCATTTCCTAGAAGGATCAGGGAAACCCTCACAGAAGAAGCCTCAGCAGCATTCCTGCTGAAAACACAAAGGTGAACCATTCTAGGGAAGGAAGCCTGGCAGAACAGACAAACAAGTACCAGATTATGAGGGTCATACTGTAAAAAAGACTTCAGAGTCTATCTCTCAAGATATGGGTAGCCAATAAGTAATTGACCTAGCATGATTGAATAAAGAAGAATTCCTCATTTTCCCAGCAATTATTTTTCCCTTTAGCCCATTCATGTATTCAATAAATACCAACTCTGGGCTAATCACTGCTCCAGCCATAAAGAAACCTTGAAGTTGTCTAAATCCTCTGAAGCTCCAGATCTACAGCCCCCAACCAGCCTTTCAGGGTGAGCCACTCCTTGGATATTGGCTCCAACTGCCCAATCATTCCCTGAGCAAACAGTCTTACCCATTATTGCAGTTGGCATCTGGTATTGGGATTTTCCACCAAGAATCAGCAATGGAATTTTTTTAACTGCAGAAATAGATAACTCAAGTAAGGAAAAGAGTTAAAAAGGAGGCTCTTGAAAACATTTAAAATAGCTGCTCAGCACTGAAAATCAGCTTAAGGGATGGCAAATGCAAATGCAAGCTCAGACAGGCCCAGCTCAGTTTTGCAAATCCTTTGGTAATGAAAATAGATCCACACTTTAATTTTTCAAACCATAAACCTCCCTGAAGCAAGTAAGAAAAGAGAAGAAACAGAAGGGAAATGTTCTACAAAAAAAGTGGATTTTGCATTTGATGTTTTGAGGGAACTCAGTCAGGACAGGGTTCCCAAAAGCTGTGAAGTAGACTCTATCATGGCTGGTACGCCAGGCTCCCATTCTCCACCGTCTGTTCTGGGCGGGAGTGTCCCCTTCGAAAATGCTCAGCTGTCCAGGGTTCTCTCATCTCCCTCCCACCCCCAACTATCATATCAAACCCTGCTATCTGGAAAGGAGACAGTACTTTCACGTACAAGGTAGAAATGAGGAATAACAGCCTTAAAATGTCATTTCTTCTATAGGGCATTTGCATTTTAACAGAGCACAAAACCTCCAGCTGAAGGAAGACTCCTATAAATGGGATCATATGAAAACACTTTGCAATCTTTTTTTGCCATTTGCCCAGAGACTCAAAGCTACCTGGCAAAAAGTAACTGCTTGATTATCTAACAAGGAAGAAATTAAGATTGACAAACCATCGAGTTCATACCTAGAGTACTTTTGTGGCATAAAAACAAAATGAGGGGCAGTCCCCATGGCTTCTCCTGTGCTGGGCTCCTGCAGGTTCCCCCGGGTCCCTCTCAAGTGGTTTTACCACGAGTATGATCATGGAGGCTCATCCTGAAAGGTGGATTTCCAACAAGTTCTGATGACACAGCATCTCAGCAACTCCTCTGCATCCACTGAGCCACAGCCTTGTTCTTTCCGACAAAGTCTGGATCTCAGTCCTGGGGCTGAGGAAGAGTGGGAGGTGTCTTCCATGGGCACTCTATCTCAGCCCTACGAGACGGGTAGTAACTGTTTCCTGTAACTGCTATTCCTGTATTCTTAAATTCTCTTTTCATCTTATTAGCTAATTTCTCACCATTTTGATCTCCTATAATAATTCTTTATATTAAACTTTCCCTGTTCAAATTAAGAAAAATAAAACAAAACGAAGTGCTTTTTCTCTTGCCTTGACCTTGGTAAGTTACCAGATTCTACTTCCTCCCTTGCTCCCCTGTGAGTGCCTCCACACTTCCCTGCTCCACCAGCATAAGACGGTACTGCTTCCATCAGATGATTACGACAGCCTAGAATATCTACTTTTGAGGCTCTTGTACAACTTTCTGACATATAAAATCACCAAAAGGCACGGCCTCTAGACAAGATTCTGAGTGTGTTGCTTTCCTCATGGCTTATACACTGAAACATGTTCAAATATCCTAAATATCTATGGGGGT